>NC_000022.11:37951988-38103503 GCF_000001405.40 Homo sapiens
ACTTTTAGTAGAGACTGGGTTTCTCCATGTTGGTCAGGCTGGTCGTGAACTCCTAACCTCAGGTGATCTGCCCACCTTGGCCTCCCAAAGTGCTGGGATTACCGGTTTGAGCCACCTCATTTTCTTTCACTGCTGTATCCCCAGCACCTAAAACAGAGTCTAAGGCACATGGTAGACTTAAAAATGTTGTTGTTGGAAAAAAACAAAAAAGTTGTTGAGTAAAAGAACACATGAATACTTGTTCATCATGTTTCAGGGGCTGGAGCTACAATTGTGGGCCGAAACAGGCACGGTTCCTGCCTGATGAAATTCATGATCTGGAGGGATAGATGGGACACCAAATAACTGACTACAGCTTGTGCTAAGCCCAGTGAAGGAAAATGTGTGAGGGCACATAACAGTTGATCCTACTGTGGTGGTGAGGAGCAGAAGTCTTCCTCGGGAAAGTTGAAAGTGTGATCTAAAGGATGCATAGGAGTTAACTACTCTAAAAATTTTAGTTCTTTGACTTTTGGCAAGGTGTAGCACCTTGAACCTTCCCCTCCCCCCCGCCCCGCCCCGCCCCCGAATAAGGCATATGCAGTAGAATTTTGAAGCTTTCTGAACCCCAGGCTCCTTATCTGTAAAGGAAAATAGTGCTAAGCCACAGGTCAGGTACGGGGGAACTGAGTTACAGAGGGTAACTACCACCATTCTTCTCTCATCCTTTAACTCAGGGGTCCCCAACCCTCCGTCCGTGGACTGGTACCAGTCCCTGGCCTGTTAGGAACCGGGCCGCACAGCAGGAGGTGAGCGGCAGGCTAGCGAGCCTCACCGCCTCCTTTCAGGTCAGTGACGGCCTTAGATTCTCATAGGAGCGCGAACCCTATTGTGAACTGCGCACGCGAGGGATCTAGGTTGCACGCTCCTTATGAGAATCTAACTAATACCTGATGATCTGAGGTGGAACAGTTTCATCCCGAAACCATTCCCCACACCTCCGTCAGTGGAAAAATTGTCTTCCACGAAACCGGTCCCTGGTGCCAAAAAGGCTGGGATCGCTGCTTTAACGGACTGACCTCTGAGCAGCTCGCAGGTCCCCGGGGTGTAAGTGATGGTCTTGGGGCGGCGCCGGAACCCAGTTCCTTTGGTCACTACCTCCATCTGCTTCTGTGAAGCCATGGGAGGACTCTGAGGAGGGAAAGACGCAATGACACACCCCCTGTCTCCTGTCCCTAATCTCTGTTCCCCGACGCCCAACACCCCCAGAAGTCTGGAAGCGGGGATCGAGCCAGAGAATGATGCCGCCAGTTAATATTGCGACAGTGCCCAAACCTCCCATCCAGACACACAGATACACACACACAGTCCTCATTCTGACCCAGCGCCTGTGGCAGGGAAGTCTCCTCGGGAGGGAGTGTTAACACAGCCATGGTCACAACAGTACCCACTGAGTGATATGCCAAAATTGAAATTTCACCCTAAGACCCTCTCTGGGTGCTCCCCTCTCCACATAGAAGTGGGCTCCCGGAGGCGGTGACCACTGCTTTACAGCCGCATCCGCACCGGTGCCACGCAGAAATACTGCGCGATCTGGGCTGCTGGAGCTGGCAGCTAGCGCCTCTCGCTACTATAGAAACGCGCACACACCAGTCAGCGCATGCGCACTTTCCCCGCTCTGTCCTGCCTCCCGGAAGTGATTTCCTCTGGGTTACGGCGCAGGCGCAAGATAAGCTAGGAGCCGCGCGAGTCGTAGTGTCGCTGTTTGCGGGTCTCCGCGCGGGACCGGGGCGCAGCGGGGTCGCTGAGGCGAGGGTGTCATGTCAGACAACGAGGACAAGTGAGTGCGGGAGCGGAGTGGCCTTTGCGGCAACCTTGGAAGGGGCGGATGAGGCAAGGCTTGGGTCGGCTGAGGAGCCTGGCGTCTAGGGGCAATGTCTGAGGGGACTGGGGTCCTGAGGGGGCCGGCGGAGCCGAGGAAGGGAAGGGCGGGCGACCCAGGAGCACAGCCCCGGCTGGAGGCACAGGAGGGCCCAGGCTCGAGGGTCCAGAGGGGATCCGTAGAAAAGGTGTCCTTCAGCAAATGTTCCAGCGAGCCGGGCTCTGTATCATGCAGTGGGAATATTGAGGTGAATGAACAATCGTCCCTGCCTCTCCACGTGCTCACTTTCTAGAAAAGGGGTCACAGGCCCATAAGTAAGCAAGCAAGCAGGTAACGGTGGTCGCGTGAGCTTCCCCAGTTCTAGACGTATGTAGTATAGGAGTACTCCAGAGGAGGGTCTGGGGCAGCTCCACCGGGTGGCATTAAATAAAAGTCTGGGACGGTCCTTTGCAGTAATTTTTTTTTTTTTTTGAAACAGAGTCTTGCTCTGTCGCCCAGGCTGGAGTGCAGTGGCGCGATCTCGGCTCACTGCAGCCTCCACCTCCGGGGTTCAAGGGATTCTCCTGCCTCAGCCTCCCGACTAGCTGGGATTATGGGCGTGCACCACCACGCCTTGCTAATTGCTTGTAGTTTTAGTAGAGACGGGTTTCACCATGTTGGCCAGACTGGCCTCGAACTCCTGAGCTTGTGATCCACCCGCCTCGGCCTCCCAAAGTGCTGGGATCACAGGCGTGAGCCACCGTGCCCGGCCTGCTTGTAGTAATCTAGATGAGAGAAGTCAGTAGCTTATAGTAGGGTGGTAGGAGTAGAGGTGGTGAGAACTGGTTTTGAATTCTGGATATATTACTATTTTAAAGATAGAGCCCAAAAATTACCTGTGGGATATGTGGGTGCAAAGAGAGCTAGTCTGAAGATAAAAATAAGAAACGTGTGGGATTGCTACCCCATTCCCAGTGAGTGTCAGTAGAGAAGAGGAGATGACCCGTGGCTGAGCATTAGGGCATTTGGACATTGAGTGCTTGGGGGAAAAGAGAAGCCGGGGAGGTGGGGGAACACCAAGAGGGTGAGGTGTCCTTGGAGTCAAGTGAGGAGAGCAAGTGGCCTAATGTGCCAGCTGATAGATCAGGCTAAATGAGAAGGAGAGTTGGCCATTGGATTTAGCAACGTGGAGATCATTAATGAGCTTGGAAAGTGGTTTTGATGGAGCTGTTGGGGTGAAAGGCTTTTTGGAGTGAGATTATGACAAAATGGGAAGAGAGGAAGATAGTGAGGGTGGACAGCTCTTTCACACATTTTTGCTTCAAAGGACACCATGGAATTAGGGCTATAGGGGGAGAGAGAAGAGAAATAAGGGTTTTTTTTTTTTTTTTTTTAGATGAGGAAAAGCACATGTTGAAATGCTGATGGGGCCGGGTGCTGTGGCTTACACCTCTAATCCCAGCACTTTGGGAGGCCGAGGAGGGTGGATCACCTGAGGCCAGGAGTTCGAGACCAGCCTGGTCAACATGGTGAAACCCCATCTTTACTAAAAATACAAAAATTAGCTGGGCATGGTGGCGTGTGCCTATAATCCCAGCTACTCGGGAGGCTGAGACAGGAGAATTGCTTGAACCCAGGAGGCAGAGGTTGCAGTGAGCCAAGATCACGCCATTGCACTCCATCCTGGACAACAGAGCGAGACTTTGTCTCAAAAAAAAAAAAAATGCTGATGGGAATGATCCAGTAGAGAGGGAAACAGTGATGATGAATGAGTACTAGCAATATTTGGGGGCAGATGGGGAAAAATTGAAGGGGTAAAATGGAACAAAAGTCGGATTTACTTCTTCTTCTTATTATTATTTTTTATTTTTTGAGAAGGAGTCTCGCTGTGTCACCCAGGCTGGAGTGCAGTGGGGTGACCGTGGCTCAGTGCACCCTCCGCCTCTCGGGTTCAAGCAATTCTTGTGCCTCAGCCTCCTGAGTAGCTGGGATTACAGGCGCCCACCACCACACCCGGCTAATTTTTTTGTATTTTTAGCAGAGACGAGATTTCTCCATGTTGGCCAGGCTGGTCTTGGACTCCTGACCTCAAGTGATGCACCCACCTCGGCCTCTCAAAGTGCTGGGATTACAGACGTGAGCCACTGCACTCAGCTGATTTACTTATTAAGTAAATATTTATTGAGTGCTTCCTACATACTGGGCGAGACACAGATCTCTGCCCTCTTTGATTTTTTTTTTGTTTGTTTTTTGTTTTGCGGTGGCGGGGGGGGGTTTTGAGACGGAGTTTCACTCTTGTTGCCCAGGCTGGAGTGCAATGGCGTGATCTCAGCTCACCACAACCTCCGCCTCCTGGGTTCAAGTGATTCTCCTGCCTCAGCCTCCCAAGTAGTTGGGATTACAGGCATGTGCCACCACCACTCCCGGCTAATTTTGTATTTTTAGTAGAGACGGGGTTTCATCATGTTGGTCAGGCTGGCCTTGAACTCCACCCGCCTTGGCCTCCCAAAGTGCTGGGATTACAGGCTTAATCCCAGAGCCACAATACAAAGCCACCATGCCCGGCCTCTGAATTTTTTTTTTTTTTAATTTTTCTTATTTATTTTGAGACAGGTTCTTGTTCTGTCACCCATGCTGGAGTACAGTGGTGCAATCTTGGCTCACTGCAACCTCCACCTCCTGGGTTCAAGCAATTCTTGTGACTCAGCCCCCCAAGTAGCTGGTATTACAGACATGTGCCACCATGCCCGGCTAATTTTTGTATTTTTAGTAGAGATGGGGTTTTGCCTTGTTGGCCAGGCTGGTCTTGAATTCCTGGCCTCAAGTGATCCGCCCACTTCAATCTCCGAAAGTACCAGGATTACAAGTGTGATCCACCGTGCCTGGCCCCTCTTTGATTCTTTTAAGTGATGCTCTAAGTAACTGATCTCTTCTTCCTGTACAGTTTTGATGGCGACGACTTTGATGATGTGGAGGAGGATGAAGGGCTAGATGACTTGGAGAATGCCGAAGAGGTCAGTATTCAGCCTCAGGCTCCCACCTCTGCAGCCCAAGCTGCCAAATCGTCTGACAGGTGATGATTAGCTGAATGTGTCTGCCTTCTATTTGTGGTCAAGGCCCCTGCCATAAGCATTCCCAGTTAGAGTGAGCTGTGTTCCAGTCTTGCATAGCAGAACAGCCCTGCAGGGTGGGCCTGAAAGCTTTTGTCCATGTGGTCCACAGCCTGTGGCTTCTGGGGCAGTTAGTTCACTGACAAGTTAAACGGTGCCTTCCTTCATTTGGCAAACATGTGTTGAATGTTTATTATATGCCAGGTGCTTTCTGCTGGGTGGGACTGCTTAAGGAGCAAAGGGAAGAGGTAAGCAGGGCTCAGATGAGGCAGTATTTTGTAGCCTAAAGGCAATGGGAAGCTACTGACAAACTTTGAGCCAGGGCACAGTCCAGGTTACATTTTAGAAAGTACATTCCTGCCTCGAGTAAGGAGTGAACTGGGGAAGGGCAAGAGTGAAAGGTGAGAGGCCTGTGGCTTGGACATAGGTGCTGGTAGTGCAGGTGATGAGAAGGCAGATAAAAGAGTTATTTCGGTGGGTTGGTTATGGGGCTGAGAAAGTGAGTGGTGACGAGGACGACTCTCAGGTTTCTGGCTTGAGCAACTAGGTGGATAGGTTGCCAGCCTCAAGAGGAAAGTAGGGCTTTCTGTCTTGTGTGACTGATGAGGGAAAAAATGCAGTTATGTTCTGGAGAGACATGGAGCCTTCTCTCTCTCTGCATGGCACTTTCAGATACCTTTTCACTTGAGTCAGATGCGTCCTTCTCCATCCTTCTGGTCCCCTTCCCATCCCTGTCATGTAGATTGTGCCTCCTAGATGTACTTCAGCCCTGTCTGCATTTTTCTACTCCTGGTGCCTTAACCTGGCTTAGATCTTATTGCTTTTCAGCCACATTCCTGCAGGAATTGTGTGGCTGGTTTTCCTGCTTCAGTCTCACTCCAGACTCTGCTCTGTGTGCTCTTCTCCTTTCAGCACCCTTTCTTACTTGCCCACATGCTCAGTTACTACTGGCTTTCCTAAATGGCCTCTCTGCTTCTGCCACTGCCCCCTGCAGAATATTCGCAACAGAGTATCCAGAGTGATCCTTTCTTTCTGTTTTTTGTTGTTGTTGTTGTTGTTTGTTTGCTTGTTTTAAATTAAGAAGTGGTGTCTTGCTACGTTGTCTAGGCTAGAGTACAATGGCTATTTTCAGGTGTGGTCATAGCGCACTACAGCCTTGAACTCCTGGGCTCAAGTGATCCTTCCAGTTCAGCCTCCTGAGTAGCTGGGACTGCAGGTTCTGCACCACCATGCCCAGCTCAGAGTCAACTTTTTTTTTTTTTTTTTTTGAGACGGGGTCTTGCTCTGTCGCCCAGGCTGGAGCGCAGTGGGGCGATGTTGACTCACTGCAAGCTCTGCTTCCCGGGTTCATGCCATTCTCCTGCCTCAGCCTTCTGAGTAGCTGTGACTACAGGCGCCCACCACCACGCCCGGCTAATTTTTTTTTTTTTTGTAGTTTTAGTAGTGACGGGGTTCACCGTGTTAGCCAGGATGGTCTCGATCTCCTGCCTTGTGATCCGCCCGCCTCGGCCTCCCAAAGTGCTGGGATTACAGGTGTGAGCCACTGCGCCTGGCCTGTTTACTTAATTCTTTATATACCACAGAATTTATTCTCTTGCCTACAATCCTCTACGCACCTTTTGTTCTAATTATTGTCCACAACTAGTTGTCCAAACCTCTTTCTCCTCTATGCCTTTGCATGTTGCCTCCTTCCTCATTGGTTTGACAGCTCCTGCTCATCCTTCTAGGTGAGCTCAAGCCTCATCCCTGGAGTTTTCCTAACCCCCAGTGTGAGTGAGGTGTCCCCACCTCCTCGGGAACTCTGTTGCACCCTTCATAGCACCTGCTCTGTTTACTCTTGTCTCCCCTTTAGACCATTAATTGAGAGCAGAAATTCCTAGCTTTCTTTCTCAGCATCTGTTAACAATATCTGGCTCAGGACAAATGCTTAGTAAGTAATTGTTAAATATTCCTGCCTTCACCTTGACTTTTCTAGCCACTTGGCCCATTGGCTCAGCTCCCCTATCTGAAAGATGGGAAGACTATTCCTAGCTTCCTGCTTAGGGTAATTTTTTTGTGCCAGGACCTCTTTTACAGGACCAACATTCTGATACCACCCCATCTCCAGGCCCTCTGCTCTCTTCTGGATGAGGCAGTTAGCTCTGGAATCTCAGACCTCCATTACCAGGTCTGAGGCTTGGTCAGGTTAGCTGACTTTCCAAGCCTCTGAAATGAGAACTGTAATCCCTGCCTCATAAGGTTATTGTAAGGATTACATGAGTTGTTAGGAAGCAGTTATGTGGTCCCCTGGCATGCAGTAAGCATTAACGGTGGCTGTAGCGAGAATTGTGATTGTTGTCATTATCACTCTCCCTGTAACCCAAAAGTGCCACCTGAGTCTTTCCCTCTTTTTTGTCTTGGTGTCCAGGAAGGCCAGGAGAATGTCGAGATCCTCCCCTCTGGGGAGCGACCGCAGGCCAACCAGAAGCGAATCACCACACCATACATGACCAAGTACGAGCGAGCCCGCGTGCTGGGCACCCGAGCGCTCCAGATTGCGTGAGTGATTGCCCCTTCACTGTCTTCTCCATCTGTCAGGCCACAGTAAGCTCTTGTACCGCTGATCTTTCCCAGCCTGGCACCTGAAAACAGACTCTCTGCTCTCACATTCCAAAAGTGGTGCCGTCCCTGCGTACCAGGCATTGAGCTAGTCCCCTGCCCTCAGGGAGCTTGTGATCTAATAGGAGAACTAGGACATGAACATCTGAGAAGTCAAGTAACAATATGGGAGAAAAACGATAAAAAAAAAAAAACAGAACTAGATGGTTGCGTGTCAGATTAGTGCAGCAAAAAAGGTGAATTCAGAGCCAATGTGTACCAGTGTAGTTTTTTTTTTTTTTTTTTGAGATAGAGTCTCGCTGAGTCACCTAGGCTGGAGTGCAATGGCACAATCTCAGCTCACTGCAACCTCTGCCTCCCAGGTTCAAGTGATTCTCGTGCCTCAGCCTCCCAGGTAGCTGGAATTACAGGCATGTGCCACCATGCCTAACTAATTGTTGTGTTTTTAATAGAGACGGGGTCTCGCCATGTTGCCTAGGCTAGTCTCGAACGCCTAGCTTCAAGTGATCCACCTGCCTCTGCCTCCCAAAGTGTTGGGATTGCAGGTGAGAGCCACCGCGCCCGGCCATGGTGGT
The DNA here is from genome assembly GCF_000001405.40 of Homo sapiens. Classification (NCBI taxonomy): domain Eukaryota; kingdom Metazoa; phylum Chordata; class Mammalia; order Primates; family Hominidae; genus Homo; species Homo sapiens. Next base: position 37,960,112 of record NC_000022.11, read on the forward strand.
TCTTTGTTGTTTTATTTTCCGAGTCAAGATCTCAATCTGTTGCCCATGCTGGAGCACAGGGGCCTGATCATGGCCCATTGCAGCCTCAAACTCCTGGGCTCAAGCAATTTTCTTTTCTTTTTTTTTTTTTTTGACAGAGTCTTGCTCTGTCTCCCATGCTGGAGTGCACTGGCCCAATCTCAGCTCAGTACAACCCCTGCCTCCCGGGTTCAAGCGATTGTCCTGCCTCAGCCTCCCGCGTAGCTGGGACTACAGGCGTCCACCACCACACCTGGCTAATTTTTGTATTTTTTCTTTTTTCTTTGAGATGGAGTCTCGCTCTATCACCCAGCCTGGAGTGCAGTGGCGCGTTCTCCGCTCACTGCAAGTGCTGCCTCCTGGCTTCACGCCCTTCTCCTGCCTCAGCCTCCAGAGTAGCTGGGACTACAGGCGCCCGCCACCGTGCCCAGCTAGCTTTTTGTATTTTTAGTGGAGACGGGGTTTCACCATGTTAGCCAGGGTGGTTGGTCTCTTTCTCCTGACCTCATGATCCGCCCGCCTCGGCCTCCCAAAGTGTTGGGATTACAGACGTGAGCCACCGTGCCCGGCTATTTTTGTATTTTTAGTAGAGACGGGGTTTCACCATATTGGCCAGGCTGGTCTCAAACTCCTGACCTTGTGATCCACCCGCCTTGGCCTCCCAAAATGTTGGGATTACAGGCGTGAGCCACCGTGCCCGGCCGGTGCAATTTTCTTTTTTCTTTTTTTTTTTTTTTGAGATGGAGTCTCGCTCTGTCGCCCAAGCTGGAGTGCCGTGGCGTGATCTCGGTTCACTGCAATATCCACCTCCTAGGATCACGCCATTCTCCTGCCTCAGCCTCCCAAGCAGCTGGGACTACAGGTGCCCACCACAACGCCTGGCTAATTTTTTTGTATTTTTAGTGGAGATGGGGTTTCACGGTGTTAGTCAGGATGGTCTCCATCTCCTGACCTTGTGATCCACCTGCCTTGGCCTCCCAAAGTACTGGGAGTACAGGCATGAGCCACCGCGCCTGGCCGGCTCAAGCAATTTTCTTGTCTCAACCTCCCAAGTAGCTTCAAGCTGGGATTACAGGTATGTGCCACTATGCCTGGCTTTGTATTTTTTGTGGAGATAGGGGTCTTGCTATGTTGCCCAGGCTGGTCTTGAACTCAGCCTCAAGTGATTCTCCTGCCTCAGCTCCCAAAGTGCTGGAGCTGGGATTACAAGCATGAGCAACCATTCCTGGCTTTAAGGTGGTTCTTGATGTGAGGTAGACTATGGCCAGTCCAGCAGAGTGGGGGGCCCTCCAGCTTGAAAGCACGCTAGAGAGATGAAAGCACAGAGCAGTGGTGGGGTTTTGGGGATTTGAAAATCAGCAAACTTCCCTCCTCTCCCACATTTGGGAGAATAAAGATTCAGGAGATAGAGTAGACAGGTGGAGATGCGAGTGTCCAATGAGTGCAGATGTGTTAGCCATAGGCAGTGCAGGCCTTCAGATGCCTGCTAAGGTTTGGGGCAGACTGGAGAACAGACTGGAAGCACCCTCTGCCAACAGATGGCTTTGAGAAAGCAGGGACTTTCAAAGAGGCTGGGCCACAGATGCCTGCTTTTTTTCCCCCCAGGCTCACCTGTCAGAATAGTTCCTCCTCCTTTCTTTTGAGGAGTAGGTGAGGGGACAGAGCGGGGTACTCTAATGGTACTGTGGGGAAGCATGAGACTGAGAACAGGAGCCCCTACCCCAAACTCCCTATAGACTGATGTGGGAAATGGTGGGTATCTGGAGGAGCGGGGGTAGTTCAAGTAGGGAATAATGGAAATTAGCCTAGAAAGAAAAGCAGCTGGGTGCCGTGGCTCACAACTGTAATCCCAGCACTTTGGGAGGACGAGGCAGGTGGATTGCTTGAGCCCAGAAGTTCAAAATCAGCCTGGGCAACATGGTGAAACCCCATCTCTACAAAAAATACAAAAATTAGCTGAGTGTGGTGGCGTGCGCCTGTAGTCCCAGCTACTCGGGAGGCTGACGTGGGAGGATCACCTAAGGCCAGGAGGTTGAGGCTGCAGTGAACTGTGATCGCACTACTGCACACCAGCCTGAGTGACAGAGACTCCATCTCAAAACAAACAAACAAACAAACAAAAAAAAAACAAAGGAAAGCTGGGGCCAGATTTGTGGACTCTGTGTGCTTACAGGGGCAGCAAATGCTGTCTGTACATTCTCCTCCTTAGTGTTCAAGCAGCACTGGGCTGTTGCCTCCTCTAGTCCTGTAGGGGTAAAGATGACCATCATGTCTACTTCAATAAAGGGTTTTATGGGTGGACAACATTGTTCTCCCCCATTCCTCAGTAGCGGACCTCTTCTCAGCCTGGTTGCACTCCTTGCTCTTATGCATGGCATTAGAGCCACACCCAGTGTGACAGCCATACCCAATATGCCACCAACGTCAGGATCCTCTGGGCCTGCACCATCAACTATGGTAGCCATGAACTGTATGTGTCCATTTACATTAAGTACAATTAAATAAAATTAGAAATTCAGTTTCTTTCTCACTAGCCAGCCACACTTCTTTTTCTTTTATTTATTTATTTAATTTTTTTTGAGACGGAGTCTTGCTCTGTCACCCAGGCTGGAGTGCAGTGGCACAGTCTTGGCTCACTGCAAGCTCTGCCTCACGGGTTCACGCCATTCTCCTGCCTCAGCCTTCCCAGTAGCTGGGACCACAGGCACCTGCCACCACGCCCGGCTAATTTTTTGTAGTTTTAGTAGAGATGGTGTTTCACCGTGTTAGCGAGGATGGTCTCGATCTCCTGACCTTGTGATCTGCCTGCCTCGGCCTCCCAAAGTGCTGGGATTACAGGCGTGAGCCACTGCGCCCAGCCTATTTATTTTTTTTTGAGAAGGAGTCTCACTCTGTCACCCAGGCTGGAGTGCAGTGGTGTGATCTTGGCTCACTGCATCCTCCGCCTCCCGGGTTCAAGTGATTCTCCAACCTGAGCTTCCCGGGTAGCTGGGATTACAGGCACCCGCCACCACGCCTGGCTAATTTTTGTATTTTTAGTAGGGACGGGGTTTCACCATGTTCGTTGGCCAGGCTGGTCTTGAACTCCTGATCTCAGGTGATCCTCCTGCCTCAGACTCCCAAAGTACTGGGATTACAGGCATGAGCCACCACGCCCAGCCTTTTCTTTTATTTTTTTAGAGACAGTTTGGCTCTATCACCCGGGCTGGAGTGCAGTGGTGCTATCATAGCTCACTGCAGCCTCAAAACTTCTAGGCTTAAGTGATCTTCCCACTTCAGCCTCCCAGGTAGCTAGGACTACAGGCTAATGCCACCACACGTGGCTAATGTCTTAATTTTTTGTAGAGACAGGGTCTCACAAAAAGACTCCTGGCTTCCAGTGATCCCCCTGCTTCAGCCTCCAAAGTGCTGGGATTACAACTAGCCACATTTCAAGTGTGTTCAGTAGCCACATGTGGCTACTGGTTACCATAAAGGATAGCACAGGGGGATAGGACATTTCTGTCATTGCAGAGCATTCTATGGGGCACACTAATATAGGCTAAAAGTGGCCCAGTAGAAAGAAGAATTCATAAGTTATTTTTAAAACAAATAGACTGCTTATTTGCAAGTTAAACAGTCTTTCAGCACTGAAGAAAGATACTGCATTAGCACTTGATAGGATGCTGAGATGATTAAAGATGTAGTCCCAGCCGGGCGCGGTGGCTCACGCCTGGAATCCGAGCACTGTGGGAGGCCAAGGTGGGCGGATCACCTGAGGTCAGGAGTTCGAGAGCAGCCTGGCCAACATGGTGAAACCCCGTCTCTACTAAAAATACAAAAATTAGCCGGGTGTGGTGGCGCGCGCCTATAATCCCAGCTACTCGGGAGGCTGAGGCAAGAGAATCGCTTGAACCTGGGAGGCGGAGGTTGCACTGAGCCAAGATCGTGCCACTAATCCAGCCTGGGTGACAGAGTGAGACTCTGTTACCAAAAATAATTAAAAAAAAAAAAAAAGACATAATCCCCAGTCCTCCAGGTGTTTTCTGGTGGGGGAGATAGACCTGTGCACAGGTACCCACAACCCAAGGCAGATGCGAGTGGTGCTTTATGAAAGGTACAAAGAGAGTTATTGCAGAGGTGACTGGGAAAGCCTTGTGAAGGGATTAGAATTCTAGTGGGGACAGGTAAAGAGAGTTGGTTTTGTGGGTACTCCAGGTGCCAGAAACAGCCCAAGGAAAGGTCCAGGTGGAGGCAGGCAGTTGTGGATTTGTGATGAGGGATCATAAGCAGCTTGGGGCATAAGGCTGGAGAAGATGACACTGGTCCTGTGAGTGACAGGTTCAGAAGATTAGAGTTCATTTGGTGGGCAGTGTGCAGCACTTAAAGGTTTTGAGGCCAACATCCAGCATCCAGGCCACTCATAAATCCAAGTGTCCTGTTTTTCTTTTCTTTCTTTCTTTCTTTTTTTTTTTTTTTTGAGATGGAGTTTTGCTCTTGTTGCCCAGGCTGGAGTGCAATGGCATGATCTTGGCTGATTGCAACCTCTGCCTCCTGGGTTCAAGGAATTCTCCAGCCTCAGCCTCCTGAGTAGCTGGGATTACAGGCACACGCCACCATGCCTGGCTAATATTTTGTATTTTTAGTAGAGACGGTGTTTCACCATGTTGGTCGGGCTGGTCTTGAACTCGTGACCTCAGGTGATTCACCTGCCTTGGCCTCCCGAAGTGCTGGGATTACAGGCGTGAGCCACTGTGCCCAGCCAAGTGTCCTGTTTTTCTTGGGGAGCAAAGCTTGATCCAGCTCATTCCAGTCTTTAGTGCTCTTTCCACTTAAGGGCTATGACACCATCTGGTGGCTCCTTGCCTGCTGTAAGCTCTTGTACAGCCATAATGGGACTCTGCACTTGGTAGGTGCAGGTGGAGTCTCACTCTGTCACCTAGGCTGGAGTGCAGTGGTGCCATCTCGGCTCACTGCAACCTTCACCTCCTGGTTCAAGCGATTCTCATGCCTCAGCCTCTCGAGTATCTGGGACTACAGGCATGTGCCACCACGGCCGGCTAATTTTTTGTATTTTTAGTAGAGACGGGGTTTCACCATGTTGGCCAGGCTGGTCTCAAACTCCTGACCTCAGGTGATTCACCTGTCTCAGCCTCCCAAAGTGCTGTGATTAGAGGCGTGAGCCACTGCACCTGGCCAGAACAACTGTTTGTTGGGTAGGTTTTGGATGGGGTTTCAGTCTGGTTCATTAGCACCACCTGGTGGCTGATGATGTTTGTCACATCTACTTCTTAACTGGATGGTTGATGTGTTTCTCTGTAGAAGCCATGGTGCAAGAAAAATTAAATTACTTAAGGACACATTCTTGCACATTCCATGTGCATAATAGGTGCGGAATGAGTGAATGCCCTTGAATTATTTATATTTTGAAAGAAAGCAGGCACATGCAGATCAGGTATTTTGCCACATTCTTTAAAGCTTTATATTTTGGGAAAGTTTAAATACTTATTAAGAGAGGATATAGGGAAAGTTAAATACTTCATCTCTGCCCTTGGGAAATTTTCAGGCTTTTGGGAGTAATATAAATCGAAATATTTAGTAATAAAATTAGTAAGCTGGTAGCTCTCAGACTAGCTGATTATCAGAATCATCTGGGCAGTTTTGCAAATGCAGGCTCTCAGGCCGCTTCACTAGAGATTCTATTCCGGGGGTCTGGGGAAGGACCCAGGAACCTGTATTTTTTAGCATGCTCTCCTGTTAATTCTGGATTTGTTGGTGTGAACCTGAGCTGGAATCATCAGGGGTGGCTTCCTAGAGGAGATGGGCCTAGAATTGGCATCCCTTTGCTTGGTGGTAGAGTCCCCACTGTGGGCCAAGTGTTATGCTGGGGGCTGGGCCTCCGTGGTGAATCACATGTGGTTCTGGGCCACTAGGAGCTCATGGTCTAATGTGGAAAGTTTCCAAACAAGTAGTTACAGTTCAATGAGATTGGTGCCAAGAAAAGTATATGCAAAATGAGTCCAGGTACTGAAGAGTCAGCACACGATTTCCAGGGTGGAGACATCTGAACCTCTCGCAGGTTTTTAGGGAGAGGAAGAGCTTGTAAGAGCACACAAAAGGGAAACAACATGGCGCATCTAGGGAACCAGAAATAGTTTGGTATGGCTGGAATGTGGAGTAAATACAGGAAAGTAGCACGGGACTGTGCTAGGAAGGCAAACAGGGACCAGACTGCACTCTGGCCTGATAGCCAAGGGGAGTCATGACAGTGTTGTAAGCAGGTGAGCCCCCTGACTGCTGGCCTCAGGTGAAGGGTGGGGAGGGCTGGGCAGGAAGGGCAGGGCCTCTACTGAGGTGTTGTGTCTATAGAGAATGGAAATGATGCCGGGCATGGTGGCTCATGCCTTTCATCCCAGCAATCTGGAAGGCTGAGGCAGGCGGATTGCTTGAGCCCAGGAGTTCGAGACCAGCCTGGGCAACATGGCGAAATGTTAATTTCACCCATCTATACAAAAAATAAAAAAATTAGCATAGCTGGTGGTGTATGCCTGTAGTCCCAAGCAGGAGAATTGCTTGAGCCTGGGAGGTGGAGGTTGCAGTGAGCCACGATCTCCCCATTGCACTCCAGTCTGGGCAATGGGAGTGAAACCTTGTCTCCAAAAAGTAGAGAGAGAAAATAGAAATTGAAATGAGGTGCACTGGGCACTGAGGCAAGGCTCTGGGGTTGGAGCAGTTAGAATGGTGTGCCTTTGCACATGTCTCCCTTTCCACCAGGACATTCTGCTGTGGCCGCTGGACTCCGGAGTCTGTGATAGGCCTCTGCCAGGGAAGATCTCTGGCAGTGCCCCTACACACCACTCCCTACTGTGCCTGCCTACCTAGAAGATGACGTTTCTAGGTGGGGACCAGGATGCCGTTCCACCCTCACTGCCTGTTGGGCCCTTCTCCCTGGGTTTGTAGTCTCCCTAACACCTGTCCCTATCCCTACAGGATGTGTGCCCCTGTGATGGTGGAGCTGGAGGGGGAGACAGATCCTCTGCTCATTGCCATGAAGGAACTCAAGTAAGTCACTCAAATCATGGTTCACTTCTCCAAATCTCTGGGAGGCATCTGTTGGGCTCTCTGTTGCACCCTTTGCTCCCACTTGCCTGGCTGGAGAAGTTGATGCTTATTCCTACAGATCCTTAGGAACAGCTCACCAGGAAGTAGGAGGAAGAGAGAAGAGGAGGCAGGGAAAGTGGGAGGGCACTGATGAGACATGGACGTCTTCTGGCTGTTGGAATTTCCCTGTTCCTGCTGCAGGAGGCCTTACCAATATTCTGTCATTCTTCCCCCTCTTGTCTGATATAAAAACTTTCTTTTTCTTGTAATTGCTTTCTTACAAAGTACACTCATCAGCCCCAAGAGGCTGCTCCTAAGACTTCTCTTTGCTTGTGTTTTGCACACAATCTGTTCCTTCTGCGGCAGAGCTGGGGTCACCAGCCCTCATGTACTTGTGACTTCTCCCCTGCCACAGGGCCCGAAAGATCCCCATCATCATTCGCCGTTACCTGCCAGATGGGAGCTATGAAGACTGGGGGGTGGACGAGCTCATCATCACCGACTGAGCTGGAGTCATCTTCCTGCCCTTGCCCCATGCCCAATTTTCATTCTCACTTTATATGTGTAAATAATAAAATATTCAACTTTCCAACCCCCTTCCCCTCTGCTTATCTGCAATGTCACCACCTGTTGCTTCCCCGTTACCGCCATGCTGCGTGGAGCATGCACCTATTCCAGTGGCCCTGTGACTGTCAGCTCCTTAAGAAGCACCAGGGGCCCTTAGCCCCTTTGGATCCCCCACATCCTTCCCTCCATCTCCCTGTTCCCCAGAGCAAAGGCTGCTGCAGGGGAGACACCTCAGCTGCCTTCCAAGCAGACAGACAAGTCTTTGTGCCCAGGGAGCTGGTTGCCACGGAAACCCCCAATTTCCTTTCCAGTGGGGACTGGCTGCAGGGGCTTCTCCCTTCTCAGGAGTATCACAGAGCAGGTCTCATCAAGCCACCCATTGTTTCCTAAGGACCTGCTTCGAGCCTCTTATCGTGGGCTCGGATCCCCTTTCAGGAGCAGTGCCCCAGCAGGAAGCGTGGGGGTGTGCTGATCTCCCACCCTCCCCAGGCAGAGCCCTGCTGGGCAAGTCAGCAGCTGGAGCAAGGACCGAGCACCTGCCTACCCCTGCCCCCATGGCTCTGTCCCCACTCCTCCTCAGGACTCTGCCCACACGCTGTCCTCTGTGGCCCACCTCTTTGGTGTGCCACACCCATGCCTTCTTCCTAGCCTCTATAAGATATCCTTTCCCTCCTATTTGGGGCTGGTGATCCCCTGAGGCCTTGGGGACATGGTGCTGGGGTGGTGGTGCTCCTGGGTTCCAGGTGTTACATTAAGTCAGAGCTGGAGTTCCCCCTTCCTCTGCCTGAGGTTCTAATGGGTCCTCTTCCTTTCTCCACCCTGCTTACCCAACCTGAGGTAAGACCAGTCACACTGGCTCCTCCCTCCTAGAGGGGGTCAGGGGGAGGGTGTATATTGACATGAACAGGGATAGAGGGTAAACTGGCTCCCTGAATATGCCAGCCTTAACCTCCATTCCACTGCCAGCTCCCCTTCAAAGAGGAGGAGCTGGGCTTCCCTAACCTCTGCAGGAGGCAGGGCCTCCAGGCCTAGGTGCAGCCTGGCCCTGGGATGGGATGTGGGGAGTGAATGGTGAGGATCTGCATTGGTGGGAGGGGTGTCCGCTGCCCTGGAGAAGGGTTAATTCAGGGAGCAGTGGACTTCACACTCCCATCCACCCTCCTCCAAGCCTGTGGAATCCTTTAATCAAGTTGGGTGCTGAAATTTCAGCTCTGAAATGCCGCCTTTGTGCTGGCATCCAGGCAGCCGCCCCAGAGTGCGGGGGTCACTTTCTCGGCCCCATTTCTCTAAATGGTCTCTTTGTTCCCTGCTGGGCTGCTCAGTATCAGATGTGATTAAAGGGAGATGGGGTTTGGGCTGGGGAGGAGGGGAATTGGGGGTTAACCCTTAGGGGATAGAGTGCAAGGGAAATGGGACAGAAGGGGTGTTTTTCCTCCTGTCTTCCTCTTCCCATTCTCCTCTTTTGGGGAGTCCCCTGCTATTCAGCTGTCTGGGCCTGGCTTTTGACTTCTCTTGAATAAAATGTCCCGGTCACCACTATTGGTTCTGTTTTCTTAGGGTTTGGGCATAGTCTCTTGAGTCATTTCCAGAAACACCTGACCCTTTTTTAACAAGTGGAGCTCCTGCCTTCCTGAGGCCTGTGCACACTTGGAACCTTTGGTCTAAGGGATGCACACAACCCAGGTCTTCTGACTTCCTTGGGGTCATTTCCCCTCCTTCCACATCCTCAGTGATTTCCCACTCACTCTCATGAGATGTGGGGTCTTGGAGGTGATAGTGTCATCTTCCGGATGTGCCCCCTGCTCCCCACTGTGCCAGCTCCATATCCCTCATCCCACGGCGAGCAGGAGTAGTGAACAGACCACAAATGGACAAAAGTCCTGCCTTTCAATGAAGGGGAAAGGGTGGGTTGTAAAGATTATAAACACATAAGGTTAGTACTGATTGATCCATGACAAAATTCTAGAATAGGTCCCTCCATGTTTAAAAGTGCTTATATAATAAAGAGGAGATCGGGCACTAGCATAGGGTGTCTAAGAACCAATATTGCCAAATAAGTTTTTTTTTCGATGGTTACTGGTCCAGTAGGTTGAGAGAATGCCAGAGATCAGTGAATCTTGATTTTGACAAGGCATCAGTAGTCTCCATGCCACTGTGACAGAGAAGTGTGTGCTTCATGGTGATGTAATTAGACAGTTTTAGAACTGATTAGACAGCCTCAAGAGTGGAGATAATAGCTGGGCGTGGTGGCTCACACCTGTAATCCCAGCACTTTGGGAGGCTGAGGTTGGCAGATCACGAGGTCAGGAGATCAAGACCATCCTGGCTAACACAGTGAAACCCCGTCTGTACTAAAAAATACAAAAAATTAGCCAGGTGTGGTGGCGGGCGCCTGTAATCCCAGCTACTCGGGAGGCTGAGGCGGGAGAATGGCGTGAACCCGGGAGGCGGAGCTTGCAGTGAGCCGAGATCCCGCTACTGCACTCCAGCCTGGGCGACAGAGAGAGACTCCGTCTCAAAAAAAAAAAAAGAGTGGAGATAATAGGCCAGGTGCGGTGGCTTACGCCTGTAATCCCAGCACTTTAGGAGGCCGAGGCAAGCGGATCATGAGGTCAGGAGATTGAGACCATCCTAGACAACATGGTGAAACCCTGTCTCTACTTAAAAAAAAAAAAAAAAAATTAGCTGGGCGTGGTGGTGCACACCTGTAGTCCCAGCTACTCGGGAGGCTGAGGCAGGGGAAGCACTTGAACCCAGGAGACAGAAGTTGCAGGGAGCCAAGATTGCAACATTGCACTCCAGCCTGGCAACAGAGCAAGACTCCATCTAAAAAAAAAAAAAAAAAAAAAAAAGAGTGGAGATAATAGGACTGACAGTGGAGAGAGGCGTTTAATGCTGTACACAGGTGTCCCTCTTCATTTCGACCTTTATTAGTGACTTGAATGAGGCTATTCAAGTTTGCAGATACATAAAGCTCTAAAGGAGAGCTAAGTTCTAAAAAGTTTAATACAGGTGGGGAAATGGGTCAAACCCAACAAGGTGAGATCTGTTAAAGATCAGTGTAAAGTCCTGCTTTTATCTAAAACAAAACAAAAACAGCATACATACAATTTGGATATGACTTTGCAATGGATATTGTCTAAAAGATCGGGGTTTCGGTTACCATCCAGCTTCACGGGAACCAGCAGTTTTGGGGAGGTTGCTTGAAGAGCTTCCATGATGCAGGTCCTAGATGGAGGGATTTTGGCCACCCTGGGGACTGGGCTACTTCTTGGTGCCCTGCCTCTCCCCTGGTCCTGACTAGGGGCTGGAGACCGCAGATGGAAGGAAGGGAGCTGAGGATGCCCAGTCTGGAGCAGTGGAAGATGCATTGCTCCAGATACAAAGCAGAAGCAGGGGCTGCAAACCACAGGCAGGTGGAGGGGATGATGGTTAAAAATGCAAGCCTTGGAGTCAGAGCTGGGTTCAGATTCTGGCACCAGCACTTCTTAGCATCAGCCTCGCAAACTTCAGTTTCCCCATCTGGAAAATTGAGATAACGATCGGACCTACCCCTTCACTGGCCTGAATGACATAAAACCCTTGGTGGAGCACTTAGTAAATGGCAGCTGGATATAAGCTGTTATGAGCTGGGTATGAGGAAGAACTTCCAACCATCGGAGTTGTTCATCAGTGGAGCAAGATGGCAAAGAGTCTTTGGAGTTGTGTGCTTGTGAGGTGGAGTGGTCCTGGCCTCTGGGTGCAGTTTGGACTTCTGCTGAGGAAAGAGCTCTTAGGGAGTAGGCGCTTAAGGAGTAGACTGTCTGACATCCTTGGTCTGGACTTGGACATGGGCACCTGCTGTGAAGGCTTGGCTAGATCCTGGCGTGGGCTGCTGTGTGTGTGCTGGGGGAGGTGGCAAGTGGGGGGATGCAGCAACACAGGGCCTATCCACACATCCTGAAGGACAGGCCTCTGACTGCAGGCAGCACGGTGTCACCCTCAGCCCACCTCCTCCTCTTCAGATACCTGTCTCTTGAATTCTTTGCAAACTCCCGTCTGCTGAGTGCTGGGTGAGCAGAGGGGCTGCTTGCAAGGCAGTGAGTTCTAGCTGAGCCAGTTAAGAGTGAGTGGCCCCCCTGCAGTGTGGGGCATAGCCGCCGGGCTGGGGAGAAGTTCCCATCTGAGGCTTCAGTCCCTGAGCTCAGATGGACCCCACTGGGATGCCAGCTGTCCTAACACTCTCCATTGTTCCCACTTTCTTAGCAGGGAGAGAGACAGAAAGAGAGAGAGGAGAGTGGGAGGGGGGAGAGAGAGAGAAAGGAGAGGGGGAGGGGGGAGAGAGAGAGAGAAAGAGAGGAGAGAAGGGAGGGGGGAGAGAGAGAGGAGGGGGGAGGGGAAGGGGGTGGGGAAAGAGGGAGGGAGGTGGGAGAGAGAGACCTTTGATGATCTATCCTTTGCATTCTACTCCTAGCTACTTCCAGAAAGCATTTGAGGAAGCACCAGTACAGGGATAAGAGATGAAGAGACAGGCCAGGTCAGGCTCACCAAGCAGGTAACCGGAACCTTTAATTTTATTATGTGGAATGCTTAATGCAGAGTTAATAGGGGCTAGAGTGGCTAGGAGAGGGGACTACTGAGATAAATAACAGGAGACAGTAATGAGTTACATGTGGATTTGGGGGGCTGCAGAACAGGAAAATAGGGGCAGATATAGCTACATACTTTATTCAAATACCACTGGGAGGCAAGGGGTAAGAGGCAAGGGCAGAATGTACAGGTCAGGATTCTAGTGTCTTCAGCCTGCCGACAGCAACCTGGGTGCTGGGCCCTGTGTCTCCTGGAGCCAAGGGTTAGGGCCTGAGCAGCTGTCACTCTCTGGGAAGCCCAGGGAGTGGGGCTGACTGAGCAGGGGCCATAGAGCCTAGTAAGGGAAGAGGGAGCTGGCAAGGAGCCCAGGGAGGGAGGCTCTGTGAATTGTCTCTGATTCCTTTCCTGGAGCCCCTGCCTCGTCACCTCCTGGGATGCGTCTCAAGGTCATGGAGGTTGTAGTGGAGGAGGACTGGGGGCTGTTTCTCAGACAAAGAATGAGGTTATTGGCACAGAATTGGATCAGGGGGCCTCTGTGCCAACTCCTTCCTGCCTTCAGAAAGGGAGGGGGCATTGAAGGGATGAGAACTCCACTAAGTCCCTCGAACCCCCCACTCCCCAATGAGGCTCCTCAAAGCTACTCTCAGCCCCTGAGTGGGAGACACGGCCAGCTCCGGGCACAGTCTCTGGGTGGCCTAGCCCTTAGGCACTGTGGCATAGGTGGCATGGGCATGTCAGACCCTCACTATCTGTGAGAGAGAAAACAGGAGTCATAGGAGTGGTAAGGCCTCCGATGCCACCAACCCTGGTGCTTCCCCTCCCCGAGGAGGGTGAGCAGGCCCTTCTCAGGTCCTGGGATAGAGGGTCATTCCTGGGGGAAGGTGCAGCCCCTCATCTTTCAGTGTGGGTGCAACAGTCAACCTCCTTCTCCTCTGTCCAGCCTGTTCTCCTGGGGCTTTGCTGCTGGAGCCTGGATGGGGCGGGTGGGTCATCAGGGCAGTGAGCCAGACAGAAAGCCCCCCGACCTGTCAGCCTCTTCAGCCTCCTCAGCCTCCTCCACTGCCACCACCAGGCCTGAGGTGGGCAAGGAACAGGGCACACAGGCTGGGGGCAGGGGCTGGGCGGGGGGTGGTGGCGACAGGGCCCCCTTTAGGGCCGGGACAGTGTCGTATATACTGGCTGCTCCCAGTGTGTGGGGCTGTGGGACTGGGGCCCTGAGGGGCTGGGGTCAGAGATGGCCGTGTAGAGGGGCCGCTGCGAGGGCCCCATATAGGAGAAGGCCGAGTAGAGGCCAGAGGCCTGGCCCGAGTGGCCATAATAGGGTCCTGAGGGCTGATGGTCAGAGTAGTCAAACTGGGGGCGGGAGATGGAGGGGAAGGCTGAGCCATAGTGGGGCAGGCTGAGGGAGGTGTAGGCGATCTGTGAGGTGGATGGCTGGTCGGTGTAGTGTGGGGGCCCCTGGGGCCCCGCGGTCTCTGTCTTCACCTGGGCTTTGGCATCCACACCAGGTGGTGAGACCGTGGGCAGAGCCACGCCTGGTGGCTTGGAGATCCAGGCGGAGTGTCCACTGGCCACGGCCAGGGCACTGCCCAGCCCATAGCCGGCTGCTGAGTAGCTGCTCACATGGCCTGGGTGCCCATTGGGCGGCAGGTACTGGTCCAACTCAGCCACATCAAAGGTCTCCATGTTGGACATTACCTCGTGGCTGATCTCACCAATGTCCACGTTGCCGAAGTCGATGTGAGGCTTCCCGCCCTCCCCCATGGAGCGCCCGTCCCGCTTCGGGTCTGCCTTGCCCGACTGCAGCTCTGTCTTCGGGGTGGTTGGAGGGGTGGGTGGGCCATGGCTCTGGCCTGGGTAGAAGGGAGACAGAGAGAGAGAGCGCAAGGGGGAAGCAGGTTAGAGGCAGGTGGGCGCACGTGAACTTCCATGGTTCACCTTCAGGCAGCGGGTGCCTCTGGGAAAACCTTGTAAGTTTCACATTTTGGCAGCATGAGTCGGGTTTTTTTTTGTTTTTTTTTTTTGAGATGGAGTTTCGCTCTTGTTGCCCAGACTGGAGTGCAGTGGCGCCATCTCGGCTCACTGCAACCTCTGCCTCCTGGGTTCAAATGATTCTCCTGCCTCAGCCTCCTGAGTAGCTGGAATTACAAGCGCCCACCACAATGCCCAGCTAATTTGTGTATTTTTAGTAGAGACGGGGTTTCACCATGTTGGCCAGGGTTGTCTTGAACTCCTGACCTCAGGTGATCCACCTGCCTCGGCCTCCCAAAGTGCTGGGATTACCATCATGAGCCACTGCGCCCCACAGCATTTGTTTAAATACTGGTGTCTTAGATTGATCTCTAGTTGTTTATGAAATTCTCAAATCTTAGGGATGGGTCCTGGGGAGGCCTGCCTCATTCTGAAAAAACCTTTCCTGTGGAAAGTTCTTCCTCTCATCAGCTTCTCTGCTGTCCAGGTGGTCTGGCCCAGCCTTTGCGCTCTGCCAGCCCCGCTTCCACACCCATGCCTACTGTCTTCCTTGCTGAGCCTCGCTCGCCCAGGCTCCTGAGTGCTCTGTTTCACCTTTGCTGGTTGCCTGGGCCTGCTCCCTGTCCTGGCCTCATGTTGTGTCCTTTCCAACCCTTCCCTCCTCCTGAGCCCACCCTGCTTCCCAGCCCACTGGCAAGCCCTTAGCCCCGTCATACGCTGGCCTGTGTTGCCCTGTTGTTCTTTGAGCTGCCTTCCTCCATGGGAGGGCACTTAGAAAACTGGTCCTTGTTCCTTTGTCTGTTCACTTTCCTATTCACATATTAATTTAGCAAACTCTTAGGGAGCATTACAAAATGCCAGGTACTGTGCCAGGTGCTGGGGATACTAATGTAAATAAAATGGATCCCTGTTCCCAAAAGCTCATAGTCTAGTCATAGATCCATAGATCCACATGCACCCAGAGTTGGAAGTGCTGTGGTGACAATATGCAAGGACTTGGGAGACCAGAGGAGGAGTCCACCCGCTGCCTCAGGGATTTGGGGAAGGTTTGATCAGGGAAGGATGTCTGAGTGGGGTGGGGCCTTGAAGGGTGAGAAAAAGTCTGTGTCCAGTTTCATTCTGAGGTGGTTGCTCTGTATGTGGTCCAGGGTCTCCTGATGTGTGTGTGTGTGTCCCTGAATCTTTGAAGGTGAAGAGTATGTACACGTGTGTGGGAGGGATGACTGCCTGGCATCCCAATGGAGACAGAACATGTCCATGGTCTTAAGAGACTAGGAGCTCCCCAAGGACAGGCCTGTGCCTCCTTCATCAGACCAGAGGCAGCGCCAAGTCCTGCATTGGCCAAGGGCTCTGTACTTCAAGAGACCTGCCTAGGCTTTTGAATCCTGGTTCTGTGTCTGGACAAATCCCCAGTCTTCTCTTAACTAGTTTCCTTATCAGTAAAATAGAGATTGTACCAAGCAGCCCAGGCATTGCCTCTTTCTGGAAGCCTTCCTTGACAAGAGTCTGGTGGGCAGTGGGGTGTTCTTGGAGACCTGACTGGATGGGATAGACGGCCATGCCACCTCTGGATCTCACACAGACTTCTTGTGCACTTGTTTCTCTCTCTATATATATACTATATATATAGTAAGAGATAGGAGGCTGGGCGTGCTGGGTCATGCCTGTAATCCCAGCACTTTGGGAGGCTGAGGTCAGGAATTCGAGACCAGCCTGGCCAACACGGTGAAAAACCATCTCTACTAAAAATACAATAATTAGCTGGGTGTGGTGGCGTGCATCTGTAATCCCAGCTACTTAGGAGGCTGAGGCACAAGAATCGCTTAAACCCAGGAGGCAGACGTTGCAGTGAACCAAGATGGCACCGCTGCACTGCAGCCTGGGCAACAGAGCAAGACTCCATCTCAAACAAAAACAAAAACAAAAAAAAGACAGAGTCTTACTACATTGCCCATGCTGGTCTCAAACTCATGGGCTCAGGTGATCCTCCCACCTCAGCCTCCTGTGTAGCTGGGACTGCGGGCGCATTCCACCATGCCTAGCTTTGTTTCTTCCTGTACTTAATTCACTCGTTTTCATCCCTGCTCCTCTCTCTAGACTATGGGCCCCTGAGGCCAGGGACTGTAGGCTTCTCTGGTTAGTACCCCTGGTGTCCACTCCAGTGTTTGACACAAAGTAGGACTCAGAGCGTGTCCTCTGAAGGCAGAGCTCTGCTCACTGAGCACTTCCCATGTGGCAGACCTGTGTGTGTCACTTTCTGTACATTAGGAACACAGGCAAGGCAGCTGTGGTGCCAAGCAGATGCCCGGGAGCCAAACTGGGGAAGTTCCTGTTTGTTTCTCATCAGTAAAATGAGAGTAACTTGCCACAGCTGAGATCTGAGCCCAGGCAGTTTGGGTACCTCATCACATTGTTTGCAAGGATTGAGTTAGTATACATAAGGCAACTAGCACCTAGCACAGTGCCTGGAACAGAGTAGCTGCTCAATTAAGGTTAGCTGTTATTATCATTAATGAAAATTAAACAAGATAGCTTATGTCTGGCCCATCCATGGCCAGACACGGTATCACATGCCATGTCTCCTCTGTCAGAATGGCTGGTGGGATTTGGGAGGCCGAGGCGGGCAGATTGCCTGAGCTCAGGAGTTTGAGACTGGGCCTGGGCAATATAGTGAAACCCTGTCTCTGCTAAAATACACAAAATGAGCCAGACGTGGCGGTGTGCACCTGTAGTCCCAGCTACTTGGGAGGCTGAGACAGGAGAATTGCTTGAACCCGGGAGGAAAAGGTTGCAGTGCACCGAGATCATGCCACTGCAGTCTAGCCTGGGCGACAGAGTGAGACTCTGTCTCCAGAAAAAAAAAAAAAAGAATGGCTGGTGGGAAAGAGGCAGTGATTTCCTCTCCTCCATTTGCTCTTCCATTTCTCAAAACCATCCTGTCTTCTCCCCCTTTACTTGTAACTGCCCCAGCCACCTCTCACTCCATGACCTCCACAGAGTCTTTTTTTTTTTCTTTCTCTTTGAGACAGAGTCTCGCTCTGTCGCCCAGGCTGGAGTGCAGTGGCGCGATCCCGGCTCACTGCAAGCTCCGCCTCCTGGGTTCACGCCATCCTCCTGCCTCAGCCTCCTGAGTAGCTGGGACTACAGGTGCTCGCCACCACGCCCAGCTAATTTTTTTTATTTTTAGTAGAGATGGGATTTCACCATGTTAGCCAGGATGGTCTCGATCTCCTGACCTCGTGATCTGCCCTCCTCGGCCTCCCAAAGTGCTGGGATTACAGGTGTGAGCCACCACACCCGGCGGCCTCCACAGTCTTTAACTGGCCCTCTTTGCCCAGTAGGATCAGCCCTGGCCAGAGCCATCTCACCCAGCCACTTCCCCTGGCACCGGAACCCCCATGGAGCTCCCTCTGGGCCCCTGCAGCTCTGCTGGGGCAACTGCACAGCCTGGCACGCTCTCCCTAGAGTCCAGGGTCTCATTGCCATCCAGCCATCTCCTGTCTCCACTGACTGGCCTTGCCCCACCCTCAGCTCTGTCATCAGCACTCACCTGAGGGGTGCTCGGGGTTCCCATCTGACATGGGGGAGCCCTCTCCTGGGTGCCGGTGGTCCAAGTGGGCGCTCTTGTAGTGGGCCTGGATGGCGGCGGTCCCACCTTGCTCGGCCTCCCCACCGGGGCACTCCGCCTCGCCCTGGGCGGCCTTCCCGTTCTTCCGCCGCCTGGGCTGGTACTTGTAGTCCGGGTGGTCTTTCTTGTGCTGCATACGGAGCCGCTCAGCCTCCTCGATGAAGGGGCGCTTGTCACTTTCGTTCAGCAGCCTGGGGTGTGGTGGGAGGCGGAGAGGACAGCAGAGGGGCTGGCGTGAATGCCAGAGCACTCCAGGTTGGCCTCCCTCTGAGTGTCCATCTTGGAAGATGTGAGGCCCTGGGATGGGGCACCCAGAGGACAGGACCCGGGGTGGGGGCTGTGCCCTATGATTTGTGGACTGAGAGATGTGAGGCCCAAGGAATAACAGCCTCAGAGGGCTGCCCCCAAATCTTTCATGGGCTGGAGGGTGAGAGAGGGGTCAGCCCGCTGCTCCTGGCAGCCCCTGAGGAGGAGTTAGAAGTAGGAGTAGAGGTTTCAAGGGGCAGATGCCAGTTCAAGGAAAGGAAAAACTTTCTCATCATCAAAGCTGTCTGCAAGTGGAATTGGCTACTTCAGTGGGGGTGAGCTCCCTGGGACTGAGGGTGGGCAATAGAAGCAGCATGGCTGGGGGAGAACTCAGTCTCTGCTACTTACTAGCTGTGTGTGTGACCTTGAGCAAATTACTTCTCTGAGCCTGAGTTTCTTCACCTATAAAAGGATGATAACATTGGCTTAACTTGGGTGTGGGATTGGCCAGAATAATGGATGTGAGATGCCTTGCACCAGGGCCTGGGAAGCGGGCTGAGCACCTTGAGGAAGAGGTGCTTTTCTTTCTTTCTTTTTTTTTTCTGTGAGGGAATCTCACTCTGTCACCCATGCTAGAGCTCAGTGGTATGATCTCAGCTCACTGCAACCTCTGCCTCCCAGGTTCAAGTGATTCTTGTGCCTCAGCCTCCCAAGTAGCTGGGATTACAAGCATGCGCCACCACGCCCGGTTAATTTTTGTATTTTTAGTAGAGATGGGGTTTCACCATGTTGACCAGGCTGGTCTCCAACTCCTGACCTTAGTTGATCCGCCTGCCTTGGCCTTCCAAAGTGCTGGGATTACAGGCATGAGCCATTGTGCCCAGCCCAAGAGGTACTTTTCTATTTTTAATTTTTTATTTATTTAGAGACAGAGTCTCACTCTGTCGCCCAGGCTGGAGTGCCGTGATGCGGTCTCAGCTCACTGCAATCTCGGCTTCCTGAGTTCAAGCGATTCTCCTGCCTCAGCCTCCCGGGTAGCTGGGACTACAGGCACGCACCACCATGCCTGGCTAATTTTTGTATTTTTAGTAGAGACGAGGTTTCACCATATTGGCCAGGCTGGTCTCCAACTCCTGACCTCAGGTGATCCACCCGCCTTGGCCTCCCAAAGTGCTGAGATTATAGGCATGAGCCACCGTGCCCGGCCCCAAGAGGTGCTTTTCTAATGCTGCTTGCGGGGGTGGTTGGACAGGAGGATCTAGGGTTGGACTCTTAACTCTGGGTCCTGATTGTGTGAATTCCAGTGTGGTGGGACTGAGGGGGCAGATGTGGCTCCTCTTTACCATGGGTCTGGGTGGGGGGTACTGCCTCCTGTGGGGGATCCTATATCCTTGTCCAGAAAATAGCAGAGAGTAGAGGAAGCTAGCCTCTCCTCAGACCCTGGAACAGTCCCTGAAACCAACACATGGAGAGAAGAAGCCCTGAAGCCAGCGCCCTTGCCACCGACTCCAGCCTTAGGCCAGGGTTGGAGGGTGGAGGGCATTTAGGGTTTGGCTGCCCCAGGGTGAGGAGGGCAGGATGGGGTACCTTACAGAGGGGGTCGAGGGGAAAGTCCAGATTCTAGAATCCCAGACCTTGGTACTGAGAATCCATGAGTCTTTGTGGGAGCAGCCTTGTCTGTCAGTCCAGAGGGCTTGTCTCTTCAGCTGCCCCACCCCTCACACCCCAGTGAGTGCCCTCTTCCCCCAGTCAGCAGAAGGCCGAGCCCTCCCTCCCCAGGCTGGGCGGGGGTGGTCATGCCAGGCACCTCCTAGCCGGCAGCAGCATTCCTCTGCGGCTTAGCCTCCCTGTCTACTCCCCCCACCCCGGCCCTGAGCCCAGCCCTAGCCCCAGCTTTCTCAGAGGGTCCCTCCAGCCGAGACTCTGTCAGAGTCAGTGTACACACTTAGGACAAAGATGCCGGAGCAGGGCCTTGAGAGTCAGGGAGTGGGATGTGGGCACCCTCTCTGACGGCTGGGACCAGGGGAGGGGGTGGAGCAGGCCTTGAGGGTGTGACTGGGGAGAACCCACAGAGGAGAGAGCTGCTCCGCCAGCAGTGGACCCCAACAGAGGGGCTTCTGGGATGGCTGGGGACATGGGACACAGAGCTCACTCTTTCACCTATCCTTCCCTTGCCCCCTGCCCAGCTGGCAGCCAGCATCAGCAAGAAAGTGACAGGGGCCAGAAGAGAGAGAGGATTCCAACATCGGATTCCGCTGCTACCTCCTAAGCTAGTTCCCAGCATTAGCCTAACCCTGACAGAAATCTAAGCCTGGGGCCACTGCCATCCCCGACCCCAGCTCCCTCCTCCACCAGCTGTGCCGGACAGCTGATTCCACCTCCACCCCAACCCCAAGCCCAGCCTGCCCACCATGTAAACCCAATCTCCAGCACCAGTCCCCACTCAACATTACCAGCCCCAAACCCCCAACTTCGCCTCCAGCTCTAACTCCAAACCCAGTCCTCATCTGCACCTTCCTGTCAGCCCTCTTTCTCCCTGGTCTCCCAGGTTTGGAATGGGGGCAAGAAGAGGTAGGCTGATTCCTCACCCAAACTGGAAACCCCAACCGGGGACCTCCCACAGTGGGGCACTGATTGCTGCTACCTGTGTCCTGCTAGGCCAGGGGCATAAGAAGACTACTTGGGGAAGGGGCCTGTGGCACTGGGAACAGAGGCTGGGTGACCCCCACCACACAGGAGGGACTCTTGCCTGTGTCCGCCTTTCCAGTTTCTTGGCTCTGGTTCTTTCCAGGCAGATCAGCCAACCCACAGGCACCACCCTGTGATCAGCCTCAACTAGCCCCTCCCCAGATGGGCATCAAAGGTTAGAATGACTGTTGGGGCTGACACGGCCCCTTAGGACCTGGGCTCCAGTGTGTCTGATCCCACACTCCCTTGGGGCACTCCACACAGTCTGTGTGTATCTTTCTCTTTTTGGTTTTAAGACACCTGTTTTCCAGCTCTGCCTACCTAACCACCCCACTTCTTGACATCCCAGGAGTCACAGCTTGGGGAGGTTTCAGGAGAAGCCCCTGGAGCAATTGGCCAGCCCAGCCCAAATCCAAATGTCTCTCAGGACCCCCCTCCAGGGTCCAGGGAGCCACCCTCTGTTGGCATTGCCTTTGATCCTTGCCATGGTTCTGGCCCCATCCTCCCATTGGGATTGGGTCCTCAGCAAGTAGTGCCAGTTTTCCTGACTGCCACACCTCAGGCTGGCCCCTGTGCACACAGCTTGAGTGATGGCCAAGAATAAGTCCTCCTGAAGGGAGTCCAAGCCCAGGGTTCTGGGCTGGGGGAACCTGGGGACAGGGACAATGGAGGAGCCAATCTTAAACCCTTGGCAATGGGAGATGGAGGGAAAATGAGGTCCGTCCTTGCTTTGACTCTCGTTGGGCTCGTACTGTGGTCTTCTCATGGTCCCCAGAGTCTGCCCTATCTGTATGTCTCTCCTGGTTGTCTGTTTCTCACTTGCTCTTTGTCCCCTGGCACTAAAGATACTGGCCTGGGCCAAGCCCCACCCAGATCTGGATGGACCTTGGGTGGAGGAGCTAGCTGTGACCTCTGCTCTTGGGCAGAACTGGGCTGTCTGGGTCCACACAGCGGGCTGGTCGCTGAGCCCTGGGCCTGCCCTGGGTGAGCAGGGCACTGAGGGCTGAGAAGGGGCAGGGGAAGGGGCACCAGGTCTTCAGCAAACACATGGCAAGAACAGGCCAGGGGGCGGGATGTGAATCTTTTGGTCTCTTGGAGATCCTCCTGCACCTTCTACCACTCTAAGCCTCTAGACCCAATCTCTACCCAACTGTGGCTGGCAAGGGGGAGGGCAGCGGAAGAGAGCCGGGCTCCTCTGACAAAGCCCTAATTTTCTGGAACCCAGATGCTCCTCACTCTTGTTCTCATCTTCTTGCTTCCCCCCAACCTCCTGACCACTCCTCAAAGTGTAGGTGATCCACCACTGTCACCAGGGTCAGGGGAAGTCCTCTGGACAGAGAGTATGGGAGTCCTGGGTTCTGGCCCTGGCTCTGCTACCAACTTCTATGTGACCTTTGTGATTCCTTTGCCTTTCTGGGCCTGTCTCTTGGTCAGTCTAGCGAGAATCAGGTGACTGCTACCGGCTCACATCTCCTGGAGTCCCTGGTCTCTTTCAGAGCTGCTCTGGCACTCCCGGGTGGGAGTGGGGGACTGTCTTGTTCCACACATCCCCAGGAGGCCTGGCTGAACCCCAGACCTGAGTCGAGGGTGGGATAATTGCTCCCTGCGGGGGATGTTTTTCCTAGAGGTGTGGGCTGGTCCCAGGGAACCTGGGACTCTGAGGGCCCCTGGGCAGGAAGGAGGCCAAGGTTTCCTTCTGGCCAGAGTGCTCAGCTCCAGCTCTGGGGCAGTGGGGAAGAGGTTGCTCAACGTTGGGGTGGGGCCCTGGCAGGGAAGATGGCGCCGAACTGGGAGAGGGAGGAAAGAGATCAGCTTGGTGACTCTGGGGCAGGGCAGGAGGGGGAGCCCCTTACTGTGTGTCCTCTCCCTAGGAGGATGAAGAAGCCCCCAACTCAAAGGAGGGTGGCGTCAGAAAGTCCCAGGGAAGAGCCCTAGGATAGGATGAGGTCCCGCAGCAGCAGATTTGTCCCGCAGTTCTTCATCCCTCACTCTTCCAAAGACTCTCATCTGAATTCCGTTTTCTTTAAACCTCCCCTGAGTTCTCCATCTGACTGCCTCAGTTTCCCTGAATCTCCAGCCAACCCTTTGGTTCTTTCCAAGCGTTTCCCTCGTATCCTCCTGACCACAGCAGCTGGTGGCATAGTGTGCGTATCTGTGGGCAGGAGTTAGTGAAGGCCTCCTTCCCTCCCTCCAAAGCCCCAGGCCCCACGGTCTGCCACCCGCAAAATTCCAACCACGAGGGGGCGCCTTCCTGCCCGCCGCCCCGTAGGGAGACCCGGCCTAGGCCGCTGGAGTTCCGAGTTCCAGGGTCCTTGTGATGGAAGGGCGGGCGCGGCCCCCACACCTGGTCTTCCAGCCCTATCCAAGGAGGACTGCCAGACAGTCCCGCTCTGAGGTGCAGGAGGCCGGGCCGCCTCGGCTACCCTGAATCCACCCGAAGCTAGAGGGCCCGAGCCCGGGGGGCGGTCGGGTGCTCACCTCCAGAGCTTGCCCAGCGTCTTGCTGAGCTCAGCGTTGTGCAGGTGCGGGTACTGGTCCGCGAGCTTCCTGCGCGCTGCCTGAGCCCACACCATGAAGGCGTTCATGGGCCGCTTGACGTGCGGCTTGCTTTTGCTGGCGCCGTTGACGCGCACGGGCATGGGCACCAGCGTCCAGTCGTAGCCGCTGAGCACCTGGCTGACGGCCTCGCGGATGCACACGGGGAACTTGTCATCGTCCGCCTCGCCGTCCTGCTGCTCCTTCTTGACCTTGCCCAGCTCGCCTGGCCCCGGGCTGGCTCGCAGGCCCGATCCGCCGCCGCCGCCGTCGGGCCCTAGCGAGGGCGCGCTCCCCGGGGACAGGCAGCGGGGCTCCTCCGAGCCCACGGGGCTCAGCTCCACCTCCGATAGGTCCTGCTCCTCCGCCATGTCGCCCCCGGCCGCCGCCGCCGCCGCCTCGGCCGCCTCCCCCGGGCCAGCCGCCGGGGTCCTCGCAAAGAGTCCAACGCCCACCTGGATGGAAGGAGGGCGCGATGGAGCGGCCGCGCGCGCAGCCCCGAGGGCGGCCCGAGACAGGACGTGGGCACAGCCCCGAGGTGGCGGCCCTTCCTGCTCCAGCTAAACCCATCTGGCCCCTGGGGCCCACGCACATGCCAGACTCTAGGTGGGTGCGTCCCGCCTCTGTGTCTTCCCACCACCTGGTCCCAACCGTCTCTTGGTGTGGGTGGCTTTTTTTTTAGCCTCCTTTTTTGGGTGGAGGTTTGTTGATGATAAGGAAGAAAAAAACGGAGCCTTTATTTTGCTCTAATCCCGGCCCCTGGAATTTCCCACCTTTTCTCTCACCTTTCCTTCTTCCCTCAGCCTGCCCCAACGGGGTTTAGAGGAGAGCCAGGTGGGGGGCAAGGGCGGGGTGTCGCCTCTCTCCACCTCACAGCAGGGTCCCAGGCCTGGGCGGGCCAGGGAGGAGCAGGCTGCGCACTCACCTCCTCGGACCTCTCCTCCAGTCTGGGGCTCGTCCTTAGGAAGTGGAAAACCGTGTCCCAAGGTGTGCGGTCCAGCTCGGGGCTGGGAGGTGACGCTGGTGGGCTGGGAGGGAGGGGCGGGGGGCCCTGAGCCTCAGGCCACGGCCTCGTTAGGACGGAGCCTGAATCCTTACCACCAACCACCCTGGCCGGACAGCCCGAGACTGACTGAGCGACTGAGCCTGAGCCGCTGCGGAGGGCTGGGGAAGGAAGGAGGGGGAGAGGGGGGAGGGGAGAGGAGGGAGGGAAGGGCAGAAGGTGGAGCCTCCAGGCTTTCCTTCATCCCCAACACTCAGGGCTCCTCCACCCGGAGCCCAGGCCCCCCCACCCAGCTCCCTGCCCTACTGCCCAGGCCCATCTTGCTGAGGCTTATCTTGGGCTTAGTCTGGGAGGTGGAGGGGAGGTTAGGCCGAGGAAGGAAGAGATGTAGGCTGGAGGGTCAGAACCTGTTGGATGGAAGAAAATTGGGCCCAACCAGGACTCCTAACGTCTGCCTCAGGTGGCAGGATGGGCACTTGGCAGGGGACTAGGGAGAGACGTGAAGGCGGTGAGGGTCCTGGGGGCCCGTGAGGGTGGCTGGCCCTAGCTGCTTCGTCTGCGAAATCCTGTTGAGTGCCTAGTGTGTGCCAGGCACTGATGCCCAGCTCCTCACCCTGCCTCCTACCTTTTCCCAGGCAGCCCTTTCTGCCCCATCCTGCACAGTAAGAGAGACTTCTCAGGGATCCCTCTGAGAAGTGCAGAGCCCCAGCTTGACCCCTGGTCCCTTCTCTGCAGACACCCAGCACACGCGCGTTCTGGTCTGGTTCAAGGTGGAAACACAAGACTAAAGCTGCCAGGAGGCCAAGGTGGGACAGGTTGGGGGCCCTCTCTCAGTAGGTCTTAGAGGCATTTTGGGTTGCTACCTACTGGGACCCAGCTCCTTCCACACTGGGCTCACCCTGTCTTGGGAGAGGGTAGGGGAGTCCTAGTCCTGATTGTCACGAAGTCCTCTACTCCCCCACCCCAACAAGGGGTGGGGACTTGCCCTGCCTCTTCCCTCCTCTGCCCACCTCTCCCTCCCTCCCCTTTTCTTTCCTGCCCATCCTCCGTTGACACCTTTTTCTCTCTCTTTCCTTGGCCTCTCCTCCAAAGGTCGCAGTGCTGTTCTCTTAACTGAGGGCAGCCCCGCCGGGGTGTTGAGGCCGAGGTGGGGTGTATGTGGGTTATGTAATGGAGCTGGGGTCGCATTGGCAACCATGTGACGTTCTGAGCTCCTCAACAGCAGGGCAAAGCCCCAAGACCACCCCAAGGGGTCCTGTCTGGAGTGGGCTGCAAAGGGTCTGGGGAGGCAAGGCCTCATGCTTGGGAAAGTCCAAAGGGGTGTAGGGGGTGGGAAATGGGACACAATGAGGTAGTCACACGAGGCAGAGGCATGTTGGGGGTGGGGGGAGCAGACACTGGAACACACACACACACACACACACACACACACACACATGCTCACACACACAACCAGCCAGACAATCGGGCCAGTGTGTCTGGGGCCTCGGAGCCCAGTGAATTAGGAGTTTGATAAGGGTTTTCTCTTTCTCTCGCTTGCTGGCCTTGGACAATCTCCCCCCAGTTTTCCTCGACGCCACCCCCGGCGCTGCCAACCCTCCTCCCCCCGCCTCCCTTCTCTTCCCTGTGCCCAGACTCTTGTTCGGGGCCTTGAAACAGTGAGCTGTCTTTGTTCGAAATACAGGTGAACGGCAATCATGTGATTAACACACACACACATAAAAAGCTTTTTAACAGCGCCCGCTCGGCCTCAGAACCGCCCGGAGAGGAGCCGCCCTGGATGGACAGAGGGACGAGGGACGAGCATCTGCCGTCGTGTCCCGGCTGCCCTGCAGTCGCCTCCAACACCCGCTGCTGCCCGCCCGCTGCCTGCCTGCCTGGCATCTCTCTCTCCCGGTGGGTCCCCACTCATCCTTCCACCCCTCAGTTCCTCCTCTTTGAGGAAAGGACCTCCCCGCTCTCTGCTGTGTCTGTGACTGGCCTGAGACCCGCCTGGGGCAGGAGGGGTGGTTGTGGAAGGAAAGAGCCCAGAGTTAGGAGGTGGAATGTGGGGTCCCACAGCTGCCCCCTCTCTAACTCCCTGCTTCCTCCTTTGCCCTCCTTGGTCCAGCTGTGCCAGGATGGGGGTGGGGGTAGCAGTGGGCACGCTCTGTCTGCAGGAAGCCACGCTAGACAGAAGGGGCCACTCCCTCTCTCTCTCCCTTGTCCCCGCACAGACACTGCCTTCCTCTCAGGGCTGTGCTGGGCTTTTTGCTGAGCAGTGTTGGGTGAGGCAGGTGGGCCTGCAGGGCGGGTGGGAAGGGCTGTCAGATGACCAGTGCTGTGTGTGTGTGGTTGGGGCCCCTGCTGCGAACACATCCCTGCCCACCATGCTGGCAACTGGGATCCCCTCCATCCCATCCCAGGCCCTGGGAACCCAGTGCTCTCCAGCAGGCAAGGGTGAAGGACCCATAGTCATTCCTGAAGAGCAGGGAGCTTGGAGAGGGGAGGGATCCTGGCTGAAGACACCTGGGCCTCTGCCCCAGCAGGACAACAGGAGGGCCAGTGTCACCTTCTCCTCCTTTCCCTGCTGGGGGTGGCAGGGGTCCCTTTACCCCCTCATTCTTGACCCTTCTCCAGGGATGCTTGTGACCTCCTTACCCCACCCCCCATCACCTCTCTGTCCTGAAGTGAGGGTTTGTCACCGTCCATGGCAAGGTGTGGTGTCTGGTAGGCTCTATGACCTGCCTTCTCTCAGGGTGTTTATTCTGCAGCAGAGAGGGGTCTGCGGTCTGAGTGTAATGGTGGAAATCCAGGCTTCCTTCCATGGCCCAAGGAGGCCTTTCCGGAGCAACAGGGTTTTCCTGGGACTCAGCCTGGCTTTTGTTAAGGCAGGTCCCGGATTTACTCAGAAGATGGGCCCCAGAGAGGAGGAGAGGAAAGGAATACCTGTCAGTCAAACGTGAAGCCCACTGATGACACTGCCTGGCAGAGCTGCCTCCGGTCAGCAGTGACCCTTCACCCCCCAGCTCCCAAGTCCTCTTCCTGAGGGAGCTGGTCCGGCTTTATGGAAGGCTCCGCCTGTGTTCCCCCACTGGGTCCCTGGTCCCTCACCTGTCACGTGGGGCGATGGTCACCCTCCCTCCCTGCCTGCCCTGAAGGATACACTGAGATGAAGGTCAGGAAATCTGCTGGCTGCAGAACCAGGGGCCATGCAGGAGTGAGGGATGGTCTGGTCAAGTTGAGGCTCTGCCCCAGCCTCAGTTTCCCCACACAGGCATGAGACTGTCTTCCTGACTTTCAGAGGACAGGGCTGAGATGGGATGAGGGAACACAGGGAAAGCGTTTAGCACCTCTGAGTGCTGTGTGGATGCGACCTGGGGGGTCCTGGCCTCCACTCTTTAATTCTATCTGGACTGTGTGCCCTCCTACCTCCAGTTTCCCTGCGGGGGCCTTTCACAGGGCCTGGCTTGCGGATACGGGGTTTGGCGTAGGGCAGTGCTTCTCAAATGGGAAGGCGCACTGGGATTCTTCAGGTTGGGGTGGGGCCTGAGGTTCTGCATTTCTAATCAGTTGCCTAGGACTGGCTCTAATTCTTGTTGAATTTACAATCACTTGTGGAGTTAAGAAAAACATACTGGGCCTTGGTTGGGTGTGGTGGCTCACACCTGTAATCCCAGCACTTTGGGAGGCCAAGGTGGGCAGATCATGAGGTCGAGAGATTGAGACCATCCTGGCCAACATGGTGAAACCTTGTCTCTACTAAAAAAAAAAAAAAAAAAAAATTAGCTGGGCATGGTGGCAGGCGCCTGTAATCCCAGCTACTTGGGAGGCTGAGGCAGGAGAATCACTTGAACCCGGGAGGTGGAGGTTGCAGTGAGCTGAGATTGCACCATTGCACTCCAGCCTGGGCAAAAAGAGCGAAACTCTGTCTCAAAAAAAAAAAAAAAAAGAAAAAAAGAAAAACATACTGAGCCAGGCGTGGTGACTCATTCCTGTAAGCCCAGCACTTTGGGAGGCCGAGGCGGGCAGATCACCTGAGGGCAGGAGTTCGAGACCAGCCTGGCCAACATGGTGAAACCCCATGTCTACTAAAAATACAAAAATTAACTGGGCATGGTGGCACGCACCTGTAATCCCAGCTACGTGGGAGCCTGAGGCAGGAGAATCACTTGAACTCAAGAGGCAGAGGTTGCAGTGAGCCGAGATCGCACCACTGCACTGCAGCCTGGGTGACAGAGTAAGACTCTGTCTCATAAAAACAAACAACAACAACAACAAAAAAACATACTGGAGCCTAGATCCCACCCCAGACTGGTTGATTCTGAATTTCTGGGGCTGAGGTACAAGCATAAAGTTCCCTGGGAGGTCTTCACAGAGTCTCTGGATCCCTGAGGCTGTGAATGACCCCCTTCCAGAGCCAAAATCACCAGGGATGGAGGAGGGGTCTTGGGTACTGGACCCACCAGCCAGGCAGGTTATACTGGGGTATCCGGAGAGCTTTGGGGTGTGGCAGGGGAGGGCCTATGCACTGGGAAGGTGGAGGGCCGACGGGCACAGGTTAGTGGTCGAGGGCAGCATAGTGACAGACAGAAGCTACCCTGTGGGTCTTCAGCCGAGTCTGAGTGCGCTGGGGTGGCTGTGGGAGCTCCCCTGAGCATTTTCTAGGCCACCTCCACCTTTGGATAAGGCTGTGTCATCCTCAGTCTCGGATGTAGTGGAAAGTGACTTGAAGTCAAGAAATCCTGCCACTAGTACCCAAGGGGCCTTAGGCAGATCACGCTATTAACCTCTCAGGACTCGGCTTTTGCATATGTACGATGTTGATAATCTTATGCACCCTTGATATCCCCAAGTGATGAGAGAATTAAATAAGAATACACACACACATCTCCCCTACCTAGCATAGTGACTGCTCAATAAATGTGAGTCAGAGGAAATCATTTAGCTATTAGGCCAGCACTGGGAGGTGTGGAGGATGCTCACCTCAGGTCAAGTGCACAAGTATTAACCGAGCAGCCACCACGGCCTCACAGTCAGGAGTTTATCATTTGCCTTTTGAATCCTAATGTCAGACCAGGTGGCATTCCTGCTTGGGATGACAAGCTCCTCTGTCATGGGTGGGCCTCCTCTGCCATGCCCCTTAACAGCGAAGGCGACACTCTAGGGCCTCCCCAGGTGCCGGCTCAGCTGTGAGGGCTCCTGTCATCGGACTTCATCCTCCCAACAACCCTCTGAGTAGATGCTATTATTCTCATTTTAGGGAGGAAACTGAGGCACAAAGCGATTCAGTGACAGGCCTGAGCTCGCCCAGCGAATGATGACAGGGTGTGGACTGGGACCTGTGGTTGGTCCCAGCCCAGCCTCTGACCACTCTGCTCTATTGCCCCTAGGCTGCAAGTGCAGCTGCAGGTTGGCCTGCTCCTGCCTCCTCTCCTTGCCTGGGCCTTTGGGCCTGCTCCACCTTCCCCTGGAGCGCTGTCCTCCCTCTGCCTGCTGGCGGTCTAGGCACTGCTGCAGCCCCACTGAGAGGTCCTCTTCCAGGACACACCTTGGGCACCTTGGTTGGAATTCTTTTCCCTATGACTTTCCCTCAGAGGAGGAGACACCTTCAGATGTGCTCTGCCTCCTTACTGAACAGCCTGGAGGACAGGCCAGTCTCCAGTTCCTATTGGGAGCCCCTGAGGCCATGCTCAGCCTCGGCTCACCTTCCCTGAGCCGAGTTGCTGTCAGAGTTCCAAGGAGGAAAAGACCAGGGAGGCTGGAGCGGGCAGGAGTGGCTTCCTGGAGGCAGAGGGTCTGAGCTCTGGGGGAGGAGGATGGCATTCCATGGCCTGTCCCAACAGGGGCTCTTGCCCCTCCCTGTTTCTGGTGCAAGCAGAGGGTCTCGGACCCAGGCCAGCAAGGCAGCTCCCGGGGTTGGAATCTTCCTTCGCTCCCAACTCCATCCTTTCTGGAAACCAGGAAGCTGGGGCCAGTGTCCAGCACTGCCTCTGGCAGCCTGGCCTCTGCTCTCTTCTGAGAAGCCTTCAGAGAAGTTGACTGCCCATTCCTGCCATCTGTCCCCAGCTGCTGGAATGCCCTTCCTGGCGTCTGCCCTGAGCCTCTCCAGCTGCTGGGAACTTCTGTGAATGTGTCCTCTGTGCAGGGCACTGGGCCAGGAGCTGGGACTGGGAGGTGAGAGAGACCAGACCTTGGCTTTGAGGAGCTGAGGGTTTGATGGGAGAGACCGATGTAGAAACCTGGAACCTGGCACGGCCAAACAGGCAGCTGGAGCTGGGCCTCTGGACCCCAAGAGCTGGGGTCAAGACCCAATGGCTGTGGAGGCCCTGTGTTGCCTTGGCAACCTTCTTCCCTCTCTGGGCCTCAGTTTCCCCATCTGTACAATGTAAAATCAGCAGGCTAGCTGATCTCTGAGAGTGTTTCCATATTTGATAACCCATGAATTGTATTTCAAAACAAGAGGCCCGTGCCTGATCCAGTGTTTGCAAGGTGATGCCTCGTGATGCCTCAGACCCTTGGTGTTCCTCAGGACACTGATAGGCATCTCTTGAAAGACATTTGGGAAACACTGCTTTCTGCTTCCTCTTTTTAGAGATGTAAGGGTGGGACGTGGTGGTTCACGCCTGTAATCCCAGTACTTTGGGAGGCCAAGGTGGGAGGATTGCTTGAGTCCAGGAGCTGGAGACCAGCCTGGACAACATAGTGAGACCCCCGTTTCCATTGTTATTATTATTACTATTATTATTTGAGACTGGCTCTGTTGCCCAGGCTGGAGTGCAGTGGCGTGATCTGGGCTCACTGCCACTTCCACCTCCTGTGCAATTCTCCTCCCTCAGCCTCCTGAGTAGGTGGGACACTACCGGCGCATGCCACCATGCCCGGCTAGTTTTTTGTATTTTTAGTAGAGACGGGGTTTCACCATGTTGGCCAGGCTGGTCTTGAACTCCTGACCTCAGGTGATTTGCCTGCCTCAGCCTCCCAAAGTGCTGGGATTACAGGTGTGAGCCACTGCGCCTGGCCACCATTATTTAAAACAAATTTTTTTTAAACTGTTTAAGTAAAAGAGATGCATTGCCTCTAAGCATGCTAAAAGTTCTAAATTCTGCAGTTAAAAACTGCTCTTTAAAATATTTAATATGAATCTTTAATTTATTATTCTATTATTTTTACCACCTATTAACATCTTGTAGAGTTTTTGATGGAAACCAGTTTCACCCTGTTCTGGAGAGGACATAGTTGCCTGAGGTGGATGTGGAGGCACCATGGCCCCTGAGTGAGATGTGCATGTTCCTTACTTTGGGGTCACCCTGCCTTGGTTTCCAACTCCGTTCAGACCTGTTTGACGTGTACCAGGTGACTACTCAGTGTCAGGCCAGGGAAGCAGCTGAATAGAATATGGCACTGACCCCCAGTTCCCTGTGTTCCCATGCCTTCAGAGTTCTCATTGTCCTCCTGCATTGTCCCTGCTGGGGTGTGGACTTGAGGGCTGGGTCCTTCCCACCTCCTCCGTGGTGCCTGTTACATAGGAGTGACGTCAGCAGATGAAGGGCTTGCATGGAAGAGAATGTGTGCAGGCAGCATGTGGGGAAGGAATGAGCATGCGCTCCTGAGTTAAGACAGTCCAGGTTTAAAAAAACATTGTTAGAGATGGTGTCTCAAACTCTTGGGCTCAAGTGATCCTTCCACCTCACCCTCCTGAGTAGCTGGGACTATAGGTGTGTGCCACCATGCCTGGCTCTAGCTCCAGGTTTGAATCCTGACACCTCCATTTATTAGCTGTGTGTCCTTGGCAAATGAGTTAAGGTCTCTGAGTCTCAGCTTCCTTCCAGGTTGTGGTGAGGATTAAAGCAGATAAGGTATGTAAACACTTAAGACAGGGTCTGGCACATGACGGAACCCAGTAAATGGTAGCTATTGTTACCAGCAGCTTGGGGATCTGCCGCCAAGGTGGCTGTTGGTTGACCTTGGGTTTAGAGTAGTCATTGCTTCTTCTTTTTTTTTTTTTCTAGACAGAGTCTCACTCTTTCACTCTGTTGCCTAGGCTTGAGTGCAGTGGTGTGGTCTTGGCTCACTGCAACATTTGGCTCCCAGGTTCAAGCAATTCTCCTGCCTCAGCCTCCCGACTAGCTGGGATTACAAGTGCACATCGCCATGCTTTGCTAATTTTTATACTTTCAGTAGAGACGGATGGGGTTTCACCATGTTGCCCAGGCTGGTCTCAAACTCCAGACCTCAGGTGATTCGCCCGCCTCGGCCTCCCAAAGTGCTGGGATTACAGGTGTGAGCCACCGTGCCCGCCCCCCGGCTAATTTTTATATTAGTTATTGCTTCTTATCCTGTCAAAATGCTGTCATCAGATGTTCCCCGTCTGCTCCCAGTCACCACAGAGGCTGCAGAGCCAGGGCCGATGGCCATCCATGGAACCAAAGCAGAAGGGGAAGCAAGTGACTGAGCTCACATGACTGTTTAGTCATGGAACTGGACATGTCTGCTGTGACATTTTGTTCCCAGGGTTCCTGGGGACCTACCCTAGGCAAGCTCCTGCTGTCTGTGGGGTAAATAAAGAGGGGTGAGTGTGCCCCTTGTCTTTAGGGAGCTTGTTCATTCATACATGTCTAGACACTAGGCAACATGGTGCAGACATGCATGAGGATTAAGAGAGTGGGGAAGGTGGAGGGAAGGAAGAGAGGGGGCAGAGGGGACCTTTATGAGATGGGTCCATTGGTGTTGTCCCTGGAGTGGAAAAGAGCTGTCTGTAAATATGGTCTGAGCAGGGTGGGCTGCACATGGCTCATGAGACCTTTGTCCTTTCACCACTGGCAGGCAGCTGGCAGCTTAGGGGAAGGGGCTTGTCAAGGTTGCCCAGCTTAGGAACTGACAACGACAATGGGACCAAGTCTTCTCATTCCAGATTCCTTGTCATTTTCCTCTGTGATCCAGGCCATTGCCCCAGACCAGGGCTGGGCAGGAAGGGAGCTCAGCCCACCCATCTTACTGCTCTCACCCGGTTTACTGCTGTCCCTTAAAGGTAAAAATGGGGTGATCCAGTCAGAATTTAGCGTTTGTCTGAGCTTGAAGGATCCTCCTCGCCGACATAAGGTTTTCTTATTCTTCGCTGATGTCACTTGTTAATGAAAATGGGAGCCGAGTGATGATGAGCTGAGCTGGGGATCCAGAGACCAGAGTTCAAGGCTGGCCCTTGCCCCATTTACCAGTGAGACTGGGATAAGCTAAGTAACCTTCCCATGCCTCAATCTCCTGTCTGTAAAATGAGAATCACGATACCTGCCATGTCACAAGGATAAAAAGGGCCGGGCACAGTGGCTCACGACTGTAATCCCAGCACTTTGGGAGGCCGAGGCAGGTGGATCACGAGGTCAGGAGATCAAGACCATCCTGGCTAACATGATGAAACCCCGTCTCTACTAAAAATACAAAAAATTAGCTGGGCATGGTGGCGGGCGCCTGTAGTCCCAGCTACTCAGGAGGCTGAGGCAGGAGAATGGCGTGAACCCGAGAGGCGGAGCTTGCAGTGAGCCGAGATCGCGCCACTGCACTCCAGCCTGGGCGACAGAGCAAGACTCCGTCTCAAAAGAAGTAAGGAATGGCAAGTGCTCAGCCTAGCACCTTTGACAAAAACAAGACCTAGTAGTTGCCTCTTTCAGTCATTTCAACTGCCAGTTAATGCCCCGCATTTTCCAGGTGTGATGGCTTTTGTCTTGTCTATAATCAAGCCCGGGAAAACCTCTTCCCTTTCTAGGGTGCAGAGTTGAGCTTACTGAGATCACAACAGGGAACCCAGGCACAGCCCTGGGGTGTGTTCACATGTCAGGGGCTTCGGTTCACACAGGAAGTATAATATCTGCTAGGCTGCCAGGCTGAGGGCCTCACACACACGCACCCCAGCTCACCTTCAGCTGTGTGTGCTTCACTGTGAGCAGGTGTTATTTTGTTTTGTGTTGTTTTTGAAACAGGGTCTCACTCTGTGGCCCAGGATGGAGTGCAGGGGTGCCATCACGGCTCACTGCAGCTTCTACTTCCCGGGCTTAATCGATCCCCCACCTCAGCCTTCCAAGTAGCTGGTACCACAGGCACCAGCCACCACGCCTGGCTATTATTTATTTATTTATTTATTTTTGAGACGGAGTCTCTCTCTGTCGCCCAGGCTGGAGTGCAGTGGAGTGATCTCGGCTTACTGCAAGCTCCGCCCCCCGGGTTCATGCCATTCTCCTGTCTCAGCCTCCTGAGTAGCTGGCACTACAGGTGCCCGCCACCATGCCTGGCTAATTTTTTATATTTTTAATAGAGACGGGGTTTCACCGTGGTCTCGAGCTCCTGACCTGGTGATCCACCCGCCTTGGCCTCCCAAGGTGCTGGGATTACAGGCGTGAGCCACCGCACCCGGCCAATTTTTGTATTTTTTTGTAGAGACAGGGTTTCACAATGTTACCCAAGCTGGTCTCATTGAACTCCTGAGCTCAAGCTATCCTCCCGCCTTGGCCTCCCAAAATGCTGGGATTATAGGTGTGCGCCACCTGCACAGGTGTTTTATATTTACCTCACCTCTCTACCAGGTGGCAAATTGAGAAATCAGAGAGTTTAGGGCTTAGAACCCAGAGTTGAAATCGCAGTGACTGCTTTGGCAGGTGCAATGGGAGGAGCTGCTTCCGACTCTGCCAAGGTCCCAGCTCCTGCTGTGTGATCTTGGGGAAGCCAGCCACCCTCTCTGGCACATTCTCCATCAGTGCATTGAGGGAGCTGGCCTCTGACGTCTATCAGATTTGCTGTCAGGGGCTTTAGGGCTCTACTGAGACAGGCCCACATTTGCTTTTGTTTCCCACCTTTTGTCCCCCAAGTGCTCGGGGTTGGACATGTGAGCACGCAGCAGATGCTCAATAAGTGCTTGCTGAACCTCAGTGATCAGAGAGATAGCTTGGCAGGTCTGTCTCCTGGGTCTGTCATTCCCTTAGCGCTGCATGGAGAGTCCCCTCACATCCTTCCCTGCTGGGAGACTTCCTCCTGGGGGATCACCTAAAGCTCATGTCTACAGAGATGCCTCTCTCGACCCTCCAGTACCAGCTGTTTTCTCTGACAGCACCCTGGACTTTTCCTTTATAGCACTCATTGCAATTTATGATCACATATTTATTGGCGGATTAGTTGTTCATTGTCTGTCTTCCCCACAAGGATGTCTACTTCATGAGGGCAGCTTCCTAAGTCCTCAGTGATCAACTGATTGCCTGAATGAATGAATGAGTGGTGAGGACAGAATGGGGGGTAAAAAGCTGGGAGAGGCAGGTACAGTGGCTCACACCTGTAGTCCCAGCACTTTATGAGGCTAAGGCTGGTGGATCGCTTGAGCCCAGGAGTTGAAGACCACCCTGGGCAACCCCCTTTCTACTTGTTATCATGGCGAAACCCCATCTCTACTAAAAATTAAAAAAAAAAAAAATCAGCTGGGTGTGGTGGTGTGTGCCTGTAGTCCCAGCTACTCGGGAAGCTGAGTGAGAGAATCACCTGAGCCTGGGAAGTTGAGTCTGAGAAGTGAGTCATGATCGTGGCACTGCACTCTATCCTGGGCAACAGGAGTGAGACCCTGTCTCAAAAAATAAAGAGCGAGGAGGAGGCTGAGGGTTAGATGAGGCTGTCCAGGGCCTCTCACTGATGGAGGTGGTCGTGACTCCTAGTCCAGTGCTCTTCCTTCTTCTGGAGCAGGGACACCCTGGGGGACCAGGCTGGGTTTAATGGGCAGCCAAGCCCCTGAGGACCTAGGGAAGAGGAGGAGGGGATGGGGGATCTGAGCCAGCTCCACCCCTTCCCCCAGCAGGCAGGAAGGACAGGGCAGATCTGTCAGCTTCAGATACCACTGCCCCAGGGGACCCAGCCCTGAGCCCAGGGAGGCAGGGAAAGAGGGGGGAACAGGAAGCACCCGGGTCTTCCCCTCCTCCCTTTTGCCCCACCCTCCGCCCCCATCTCTGGCGAGAGAGCTCACAGCCCCAGGCCTTGGCACTAGGGGGACAAGGGCGGGGCAGTGGGGGACAGAAATCCAGTTCTGGGCAAATCCCTTCCTCTCCCTCATTTGGTTTCTGGCCTGAAATTGGGGACTGCCCTGGCAGCCCCTGGAGAGCTTGGCTGGGGCCTTGAGGCAGGAGGGATGGAGCGAGAGGGAGAGGGCACTGCCCACTTACACCCTTCCTGTGTGCCCAGCCCTGTGCAGACCTAGCTGCAGTGTCACTCAACAGGAGGAAGAGCCCTGGGTGGGACCTGGGAGGCCTCACTGAAAGGCTGGGCTCTGTCAGTAATTGCTGTGTGACCTTGGGTGGGGCACAGCCCCTCTCTGGCCACTGTCATTCTCCTCATCTGCCAATGTGGTCCAAACCTGGGGCCAAAGAACACAAGCCCTTGGGGAGTTTTAAAAGACTAATTCCCAGGCCCCATTCTGAGTGGTAGATTTGGGTGGGACATCTGTATGTTTAAATCTCCGCTGCGATTACGACGCACCTGGTGGAGGCACTACTGCCATAGATGGTCTAAGGGCCTCTCCCCAGCCTTGAAACTCCCACCCCTAGGGCAGGCCACCCCACTCCTGTGTCCTACTCGGGAAGGCAAGGGCTGCAGTGGCTGGCTGCATCCTCTGGGGTGCCAGCTGGGACACAGGTGGCAGGCCAGCTGGGACACAGGTGGCAGGCCGTAGGGAGCAGGGTGCTGCCTGGGGAGGGTGTGTGCTGTGGACCTGCCAGGAACAAACACAGAGGGGCCTGGGAGGGCCCTGAGCTTCCCAGCCGGAGTCTCCCCTCCATCCCCTCCTCTGAAGGCCTCTTCCCCCTGACCTTTCTCCCTTCTTTTCCACTTCGGCCTCCACCTTGTTTCTTTCTCTGTCCATTGCTCCCTCCTTCTCCTCTTTCTGTCCCCAGCCTCCTCTCTCTGGGAAGCTTTTTAATTTTGACCCCACATCCCACAGTTGGTCGCTCCTGCCTCTTGGTGTCCTTCTTGTCCTGGCCCTCCTGCCCTGGCTCCCTGTCTCTCTCCAGCCCTGTCTCTGTCTCTCCCTGTTTTTCTCTCCCTGATGCGTTCTCTCTGTCCCTCCCTCCATGAATTTCTCTGTCTCTGTCCTGTGCCACCTCTCATCTGCCCTGCCTCTGTAAATGTGGGGAGGACCCTGGGAAAATGACAGAGATGGGGAGAGCTGACAAGTTAGAGAAGCCAAGGCTTGTGGCAACCTGCAGTCTTCCCCACCTGGCTCCAGCCTACCTTCCCCAGGACACCCGGCTCTGTCCCCTGCATGCCCTGGGTCACCCTGCCCCTCCCTCGTGCCTGTGCCCAGCTCCGCATCTCCCTCTTCCCATTTCCAGCTTCCCTGAGACTGCCCCGGGGCCCTTTCTCTGGCTGTCCCAGGGACCTCACCTCCTGTGAGCCCACAGCTCACCGTCTGTCGAGGGGGGACAGGCAGGAGGTAAGGATGCGTCCGAGCCTCCCTAGGACACGACCCTCACAGAGTCATGGACCGCAGGATTTGTACCATCTCCTGGCGCGAGAGCCAGGGTTGCCCAGATTGATGGAAGAGCAGGTGTTTGTGTCCCCTTCCGGTGAGAGCTTTCCAGCGCCCAGAGAGCCAAGACGGCTTGTGGAATTGGGGAAGAGGCAGGGAGAGGGTGGGAAGTGGGAGTGGAGGGGTATGTTCTTCCCCTCCCGGGGCCTCAGTTTCTCCTCACAAGCTCTTCCCTCTCTCTCATTGTCTAAGCCTTTCCTTCCCGCCTCTGGTCGATTGGGGGTGGGGCAGGGGCAGGGAATGAGGGGATGTTGGGCTTTTACTCAACGGAGCAATTTATCCTGTGATCAAAAGAGGCCATGGCCGCCTCATCTCTCCTCAGAGACCTGCCCTGACAGGTGGTGTCCTGCCTCCAGTCCGTGTTAACTCCCTCAAGGCCAGGGCCGGGCCGAGGGTCTGAGCCTTCCACCTGCCCCTTGAAGGGGCCTCCCTGGGGTCCAGAGACATCAGGCTGGCCCTGGGGAGGCTGTGGACCCTGGGCCTCACACTTACATCTGGACAGGCCTTCTGACTTCCAGGGCCTGGTGAGAACCTCAGGTGAGGAGTTGCTGTCAGGCTCCCTGGGCAGGTTGGGGTGGTCCTGCTGTCCCACCCTGGGGACTTTATTCCAGGGGCTGTGGGCTGGAAGGAGCCCCTGTTCCTTCCAGACTCCCTCTCTGCACCCTCCCTACTGCTGGCCCTGTGGCCCTGGGCGTGGGATGTGCAGAGGACCGGCCAGGAGAAGGGTTAAGTCAGGGACTCTTGGGATGGCTTTGGCCACGGCCATTCCTCCGAGAGAAGAGAACAAGGGGCCCATTCTGTGTGTGGGAATTAATAGCAAAGAGTCATCTGGGGTGTCACTCAAGCACTGATCGACTCCCAGAGGAATGTGAGAGGGAGAGAGAGAGGGAGAGGAGAGGAGAGGAGAGGAGAGGAGAGGTGTGGTGGGGGCTGAGACGGAGATGTCAAAGGCAGGGCATTAGGGTCTGGCTGGTACAGGAGCCCGCCCTGGTAGGAGGACCCGCCGCCCCAAGATGGGTCCTGCTTTTCACCACAGATGCGCCCCCGTCCCTACACAAGATGAAGACCCCCTCCTGTCATTCCCTCACCCAGGGCCTCCCCCTTCTGTCTTCCCTCATTCCCAGACGGCCGTACCCTCTACCCCGAGGTGGGCCTGCTGGGCAGCTGGCCCTGAGTTCCTGGGCTCTCCCAGTCTGCCCCCATCTTTGCTGAGAGATCCAGGTGCTCCTTGTGGGAAATGCCCTGGGGATGGTGCTGTGGAGTGCCAGCCTGGGGTCCTGAGTTGTACCCTCTGTCCCAGGATCCAGGAGCCCCACTTGCCTGGCTCCAGGCCCAGTTCAGACACATTTCTACCGGGTGGCTGCAGGCACCTTTGGCCGCCTGCGTGTGGGGATGCTGGAGCTTGTCGGCCATCACAGGGGGCTCAGCCTTCCTCGTCAGCTCAGGCCCCTGTGGCAGCCTCAGCCTGGCCTGTGGTCACTGAGGACCAGCAGGTCTCCTGACATCCGAATGTCATACCCTAAGGAAGGCCTTGGCGAGGCTCCAGGAGGCCTAGGAGGGTGTGGTGCTCTCCTGCTCCAGTTGTGGGGCTGAGTCAGAATCCTCCCAGGTCATCTGCACCTGGGCGTCCTGACACCCCTTCCCCTCCCCAGGGCCTCAGGCTGGCCACCGAGCCGAAATGAGCCTAGACTCTGTGGGACGCAGAGGCAGTGGGGTGCGGAGGATGAGGGCTTTGGGGCAGTCAGAGCAGGGTGCCCCACTCCTTGGCCCTGTGACCTGGGCAGAGCTCCTTTGTCTCTCTGAGCCCCGGGGTTTCCTCTTGAAAATGGGTCATGTCATAACTGGCAGGTTCAGAGGTAAGAGAAGGTAACAGGTGTCAAGTGCCCGACACAATAGCCAACCACTGTGTGTTGTTATTTTTATTGTGATGATTATTGTTATTGGAGGGCTGGGCAGCCTCCACTACCCTTGGGCTGGAAGGCACACTGTGCACACCATTTGACTGCCTGGATCTGCACCTGGCAGCCTGTGCCCGCTAGGCGAATCGCAGGGATCCCAGCACTGTTCCTCCTCAGCTGTGGTTTTGGCGAGGGTGAGCTTATTGGCCCCCAGACCTCCTGTGTGCCAGCGTCATTTCCATATCTGGTGACTCATCCTGCTGGTCCTGCCGGAACATGATGCCTCCCCTGACGGCATGGTGCAGGCACAGTGTGTGCAGCCACTGGCCTCGGTTCCTCCCCTGGGAGTTGGCCACCTGCGCCCCCACGGTAGACTCTGGCATGCTAAAGCCTGAAGGGAGCTTAGCGGTTGTCCAGCCGGACCTTCTTATTGTACTGACAGGGAGCTGAGGTCTAGAAAAGAGAGGGCCTTTCTGGGGCACTGTGGAGTAAACAGAGTTGGCAGGCTCTTCTACATTGGGCTAGGAGTCTGGACTCCTGGGTTCTTGCCCAAACTTGGATGCTAGGGGCCAAGTGGGCTGGGAAAATTCCTTACTTATAGCTGGGGTGGGGAGAGGACACACGGAGAAAGAAGGTGGAGCCTTTTGCAAACTAAAGTGCTTTCCAAATATGGGGGGTTATCAGGAGGGTGGCTTTGGGCCCCTCGAGATGGTGCTGACCCTGTGTTCCTCTGCAGTCTGTGCAGGGCACTAGGGTGGTTGGTGTCACCAGCCCAGGGGCTGCTGGACACAGGCCCCACCCAGAGGAATAAGCCAACACCATTGAGGAGGGGCAGCCCAGGGCTCCCTGCCTGGCTTTGGAGGTGTAAGGTGTTTGAAATAACATTCTCCAACATGCTCAAAGTGAAACCAGCTTCCTTTGGGAACATATGGAGACCACAGGCACTTCACAGGGGCTGATGAGGACCCACCAACTCTGCTGTGGGCTCTGTCCCTGCCCTCGGAGCTCATAGCCTGGTGACCTTGGCATTCATTATTTTCATTCCAGTTCTCAGCACAGCGCTTGGCACATAGTAGGAACTCAGGAAGTGTTTATGGGATGGAATGGGGTGATGATGTTGAGGCAAGATGAAGGGTATGAACGGAGATGACATCTGCGTCTTGCCTGGAAGCAGAGGGTAGGAAAAGGAGCAAGTAAGGAGTGGCGGCTGGCATGGGTGCAGCACCACTGAGAGGAGGGGTTGAGAGAGGTTAGAGAAGGACTAGAGTCAACACTCCTGAGAGCCCTTCTTTGCCCTGTGGCCTCTTACTTGCAAGCTAGTTCCCCTCTCTCAGCCTCAGTTTCCTAATCTGTAAAACAGGGATAATAGAATTTATTCATGAGTTGTTGCAAGGCTCAAGAACGGTAACACATGGGCCATGGCAGGCTCTCGACCGTGCCTGCTGGACACCCAGTGTGTTGTGAACAGAGATCTTTAGAGAGAACAGATAAAAATTACAGAAGTATCTTATAGAGACACAGTTGACAGATACAGAAATAATGTGAGTTGCATCATATTAGATTCAGAGAGATTAAAGATAGATTTTTAGGGGAATTTACGAATTTATTCATTTTGGGGACACAGAGAGCGATGAGCACTGGGATGGAGACAGTGAATGCCTGACATTGGAGGCTCCTGGACTATAGAGTTGCTTTGTTTGTTTTTTGGATGGAGTCTCATTCTGTTGCCCAGGCTGGAGTGCTATGGTATAATGTCGGCTCACTGCAACCTCTGCCTCCCAGGTTCAAGCGATTCTCCTGCCTCAGCCTCCTGAGTAGCTGGGATTACAGGCATGTACCACTATGCCTGACTAATTTTTGTATTTTTAGTAGAGATGGGGTTTCACCATGTTGGCCAGGCTGGTCTCCATCTCCTGACCTCAAGTGATCTGCCCGCTTAGGCCTTTCCAAGTGCTGGGATTACAAGTGTGAGCCACCTTGCCTGGCCAAGTGGTTTTTTTTGGATGGAGTCTCACTCTGGTGCCCAGACTGGAGTGCAGTGGCATGATCTTGGCTCACTGCAACCTCTGCCTCCTGGGCTCAAGCAATTCTCCCACTTCCGCCTCCTGAGTAGCTGGGATTACAGGCACCTGCCACCATGCCTGTATTTTGTAAAAATACGAAAATACAAATTTTTGTATTTTTAGTAGAGACCAGGTTTCACCATGTTGGTCAGGCTGGTCCCAAACTCCTGACCTCGGGTGATCCATCCACCTCAGCCTCTCAAAGTGCTAGGATTACATGCGCGAGCCAGCACACCTGGCCTTTTTTTTTTTTTTAATTTATTTTTTTCCCCAAACTTGGACAAAGCATATCACTTCTAGACTTTTTATTGGGCCACAAAAGTGCTTAAGAACTAAAGAAGAAAACTCCAGCTCCAAAGTATACAAAAATAGCAACAGAGAAATTATTCAAAATTTTAAATGAAAAATAAAAAAGACTCTTTAAAACTTGTTTATAGCCAACCAGTTCTATGTAGCATGTGACGTGGGTACATTTCAACATGCTTGATGCAATGTGGGGTCAGTGGGACCCACAAGAGTCTTATAAAGTGTCCAGGGCACTGCAACCTCCGCCTCCCAGGCTCAAGCAATTCTCCCACCTCAGCCTCCTG
Organism: Homo sapiens; assembly: GCF_000001405.40. Classification (NCBI taxonomy): domain Eukaryota; kingdom Metazoa; phylum Chordata; class Mammalia; order Primates; family Hominidae; genus Homo; species Homo sapiens. Next base: position 38,002,499 of record NC_000022.11, read on the forward strand.
AGTAGCTGGGATTACAGGCACCTGCCACCATGCCCGGCTAATTTTTGTATTTCTAGTAGAGACTGGGTTTCACCATGTTGGCTGGGGCCATGGGGCTGGGGTTGCTCAGCAAAGTCAGCTGTGTCTGGGGGCAACGGAGAAGGGCTTCCCGGTGGAGGTGATGTTTGGGTGCAACCTTACAGAGAGAGAAGGGATTGAATAGAGGGGAAAATGGCCTGATGGTGACTTTTGAGTCTTTTTTTTTTGAGACGGAGTCTTGCTCTATCGCCCAGGCTGGAGTGCAGTGGCGCCATCTCAGCTCACTGCAAGCTCCGCCTCCTGGGTTCACGCCATTCTCCTGCCTCAGCCTCCCGAGTAGCTGGGATTACAGGCACCTGCCACCAGGCCCAGCTAAGTTTTTATATTTTTAGTAGAGACGGGGTTTCACCGTGTTAGCCAGAATGGTCTCGATCTCCTGACCTCGTGATCTGCTTGCCTCGGCCTCTCAAAGTGCTAGGATTACAGGCGTGACCCACCGCGCCCGGCCAACTTTTGAGTCTTGACGTAAAGGGAGATGTGTGAGCAAAGGTTCAGAGAAGGGAAAGCACATGGAAAATTAGGGAGAAAGGCGAGATACTTGGCATGCAAGATACTTTGGAATTAGGATGTGGAGAACAGGGGAGGGGTTAGGGTAACTCTAGAAAGTTTGGTAGAGGCTTATGTACCAGGCTTGGACTTTATCCTAAGGACAGTCAGGAACCATGAGCGAGACAGAGTCTTGCTCTGTTGCCCAGGCTGGAGTGCAGTGGCGTGATCTCGGCTCACCACAACCTCCGCCTCCCGGGTTCGAGCGATTCTCCCGCCTCAGCCTCCTGAGTAGCTGGAATTACAGGTGCGTGTCGCCACACCTGGCTAACTTAGGTATTTTCAGTAAGGATGGGGTTTCACCAAGTTGGCCAGGCTGGTCTTGAACGCCTGACCTCAAGTGATCCGCCCACCTCGGCCTCCCAAAGTGCTGGGATTACAGGAGTGAGCCACTGCACCCGGCTGGGAGATAGTTTAAGAAGGGTGAGGAGAGTGGTGGTGACACAGTCAGCCTATTTTTTTTTTTTTCTTTTTGAGACGGAGTCTCACTCTTGTCACCACTGGAGTGCAGTGGTATGATCCCGGCTTACTGCAACCTTTGCATCTCAGGTTCAAGCGATTCTCACACCTCAGCCTCCCAAGTAGCTGGGATTACTGGTGCGCGCCACCATGCCCAGCTAATTTTTGTATTTTTATTAGAGATAGGGTTTCACCATGTTGGCCAGGCTGGTCTCGAACCCCTGACCTCAGGTGATTCACCTGCCTCAGCCTCCCAAAGTGCTGGGATTACAGGCGTGAGCCACTGTGCCCAGAACAGTCAGCCTTTTTTCCCCAAGTTCACTCTCAAAGCATTGTGGCAGCTGCGTGGTTGATGGGGAAGGGAGGGAGGTGCTGGAGAGTGGAGGCCGGAGACCCACTAGGAGATTAGGATACTGTTTTGTTTTTTAGATGGGGTGTCGCTGTGTTGCCCAGGCTGGAGTGCAGTGGCGTGACATAGCTCGTTGCAGCCTCAAGCTCCTCAGCTAAAAAAATCCTCCTGCCTCAGTCTCCAGAGTAGCTTGGACTACAGGAATGCACCTCTGTGTCTGGCTAATTTTTATTCTTTTGTAGAGATGTGGGGGGGGTCTCACTATATTGCTCAGGCTGGTCTAGAACTCCTGGCCTCAAGTGACCCTCCCACCTCCCTGAGATCCTGATGGCATAAGCCACCACACCTGGCCAGGGGCTGGAGTGTTAACACCGGTGAAAAATGATGACAACCTGTATTAGGATGGGTCGTAGGGAGGGAAGAAGAGGAGAGATTTGAGAACAAGTCAGGCAGTGGCTGGAGTGAAGGACATTGGAAATAGGTGGTAATAACACCCTTGCCACTTCCTGAGCGCTCACTGTGGGCCAGGTGCTTTCTACCTATAAGACATGCATATCTACTCGCTGAGTTCTCATGACTGCCAGAATGGAGCAAGAGATGGCAGGCAGTCCTGATTTAACTGGAATCTGAAGAATCCATACATGCCCTGAAGTTAAAAACCACTGGCTAACTTGATTACCTCTGTAAGAAAACAATAAATAAATAAAACCCAGTGTCAAAAACCACATGATAGGCTGGCCGCATTGGTTCATGCCTGTAATCCTAATACTTTGGGGGGCCAAGTCGGGCAGATCACTTGAGGCCAGGAGCTCGACACCAGTCTGGCCAACATGGTGAAACCCCATCTCTACTAAAAATACAAAATTAGCCTGGTGTTGTGGCGCACACCTGTAATCCCAGCTACTTGGGAGGCTGAGGCAGGAGAATCACTTGAACCTGGGTGGTAGAGGTTGCGGTGAGCTGAAATTGGGCCATTGCACTCTAGCCTGGGCAAAAAGAGTGAAACTCCGTCTCAAAAAACAAAACAAAACAAAACTATGTGATACATATTTGTTGCTGGCAAATTAGAAAATATAGAAAAACAAGAAGAAAGGCCAGGAGCCATTGGTTTTTAACTGCAGGGCATGTATGGATTCTGCAGATTGTAGTTAAATCAGGCCTGCCTGCCATCTCTTGCTCCATACTGACAGTTATGAGAACTCAGCGAGTAGATATGCATGTCTTTTAGGTAGAAAGCACCTGGCCCACAGTGAGCACTCAGGAAGTGGTAGGGGTGTTATTACCACCTATTTCCAACGTCCTTCACTCCAGCCTCCCGAGTAGCTGGGACTACAGGTGTGTAACACCATGCCCAGCCAATTTTTGTTTTGTTTTAGTAGAGTCAGGGTTTCAGCATATTGGTCAGGCTGATGTCAAATTCCTGGCCTCAAGTGATCTGCCCACCTCAGCCTCCCAAAGGGTGGGATTACAGGCATGTGAGCCACCTCGAATGCCAGATTTAAGAGTTGGGAGTCCTAATGGGGAACCACAAAGGATTTCAGCTCAGGGGTGATGGAACCCTATAGACCTTTAGCAAGCTCATCCTGGCCAGGTGGAGGAAAGACTGATAGCAGGAGAGCTGGTACTGGCCTGGGGGCCAGAGAGGAGAGCTCCCACCAGCAAAACATTACGATGGAAGGCAGTTGGTGATAGATCGGGTGTGCAGGAGCCAGGGTGAGGGATTGTCAGGCAAAATAGGAATGGAGGGGCGATGTAATCACCTAAAATGACAAGACCCAGAGCAGTACCCTCTGAGCGAGGTCTGCAGAGTGGGACCTCCTTGCGCTGTTTGTCACTGATCCTCAGCAAGGTCAGAGATGAGTACAGAACTTAGACAAGTATAGTCTAGAAACTCCTGTAACAATTTGATGTGGCTGCAATTTCCAAGACTGTGAATCATTTTTAGTAATTGTTTTTTATTGTATGTTACAGAAGTATTGGTCTGCAAAGAATTGGTTTTTAAAAACCTTGGGCCAGATGTGGTGGCTCACGCTTGTAATCCCAACATTTTGGGAGGCCGAGGCAGGAGGACCACTTGAGGCCAGGAGTTCAAGACCAGCCTGGGCAACCTAGTGAGACACCATCTCTATTGAAAAAAAATATTAGCCAAGTGTGGTGGCCCATGCCTGTTGTCCTAGCTATTTGGGAGGATTGCTTGAACCCAGGAGGTAGAGGCTGCAGTGAGCCATGATGGTACCACTACATTCGAGACTGGGCAAGAGAGTGAGACCCCATCTCTAAAAAAATTAAAAAAAAAATGGTTTGCTCTTCACTCCATTGAGCTGCAAAAACGCTGGTCTAGATGGAATTTGGGACATATGGAGGGCAGCGAACCAGTGAGCGAGGCAGTGAGCAGGCATGTGGGTGGCTATGCACACACCCCAGGGACCTGGGATTATTTCTGGAGTCAGAGTGATCATTAGGAGCTGACCACAGCCACCCAGCCCATAGCAAGGGCCACCCTCCAGCCGCTCACTCAGCAAATATTTAGCAGGCACATACTGTGTGCCAGGCCAGGCGCCGAGGCACATGTTGGGAAGACAGAGGAGACGAGGCAGGTTCATCCCTTACTCTTGGAGCTGATACCTGCTCGCACTAGTCCCCAAGGGTCATTCCAGAAGGGAAATTTCAATGTGGCTCTGGGGAGGAGCGGGCAAGGGGAGCAAGGAGCAGCTTTTCCATCCTACCTGGTCCATTGCTCCCACAGACCCCCCAGGAAGGGCCTGGCTTGGGGAGGCAGCAACGGGGGAAGGACAGGGAACAGAACTTGGGTCAGCAACCATGGCCCCAGCTCTGTCACCTCTGTTTATGCCATTGTCCTGGGGAGCCTGTCGTCTCCGAGCTCCAGCTTCCACATCTGCATGGTGGGGATCCTGGGGTCCTCCTGCCTCACCCAACAGAGGTCTGGATTAGAAGGAGCTTGGGAGAGGACAGTGGGCTGACTTGTGATCACAGTCCAAGTTTCCAGAGTGCACCCTGCATCTGTCTTCTTGTAGAGCTTCTGGAAGCCACAGGCGCACACATCTGAAAGGAACTTGAAATTTACTGGTATGGGTACTCCATTTTACAGGGAATTGAGCTGAGAGGCCTGGAGGGAGACAGATGTGGCTAAGGTTGCCTGTGGTGAGCTGCAGAGTGGGAACATGAACCTAGACCCCCAACTGGACATCTGGCACCCTGAAAGCCTGAGGGAAGGGCCCTCCCAGAGTGCCGTGAAAATCTGGATGAGAGAGACCATGTCTCCGGCAGGCCCCCAGCCCCTTCTTCACTAGGTCTCCTGATAGCAGCCACCCAGGACTGCCCAGGGTGGTGGGAACCTTTCAAGAAGGCAGAGGGAGAGTGGGCTCAGCCATAGGGCAGACCCTGAGGGGCTCACAGGGCATGAGGTGGCCCAGGCAGGCAGCAGTAGGGTGGCTGGCAGACAGAAGGGGGACTTAGCAGCAGAGACCCATGTCAGGGGGCAAGGTTCCAGACATGTGAGGGATGTGGCTAAGGTTGACCTGGAAAAAGGAATGCTGGGAGCCTGGGAGGTGGAAGGACACTGGAGGAGCTGGCGGTGGACAGAGCGGGGCCGCCCCCATGCCTCCAAGACCCGCTTTCACGTCTGCAAAATGAGATGGAAAGCCATGCCTCCCAGGGCTTCTGGTGGCTGGCAGGTGACAGAGAGGGCACCGCGGGCCTCCAGTTCTTCCCGAGTCCCCCAGGGCCTTGCCTGGGCCCATCAGCAGCAGCAGGCCTTCCGCAAAGACTTGCTGAATTAACAAATGCCTGAGGGAGGGAGAGGGGAACTCACACTAGTTGTGGTCATGGTAGATTTCTGTCCTGAAGAATGGGGAATTACAGCGTTGCTGGGCTCCCTGTGATGGGGCAGCAGGACTGAGGCCTGCGCGAGTGAGTATAGACGCTGTGGTCTGTGTGCAGCCCACTTGCCTTCAGAGCTCTGCCACGGCAGGCCCCCTTTAGCTCCTCTGTTGCTTTACAATAAACTCGCTGGGTGTGGTGGCTCACGCCTATAATCCTAGCACTTTGGGAGGCTGAGGCAGGTGGATCACCTGAGGTCAGGAGTTTGAGACCAGCCTGGCCAACATGGTGAAATCCCGTCTCTACTAAAAATACAAAAGTTAGCCGGGCGTGGTGGCACCTGCCTCTAATCCCAGCTACTCAGGAGACTGAGGCAGGAGAATCACTTGAACCCAGGAGGCAGAGGTTGCAGTGAGCAGAGATTGCACCACTGCACTCCAAACTGGGTGACAGAGAGAGTCTGTCTCAAAACAAAACAAAAAATTAAACATTAAAAAAGGCAGGCGCTGTGGCTCATGCCTGTAATCCCACCACTTTGAGAGCCCCAGGTGGGCGGATCATCTGAGGTCAAGAGTTCAAGACCAGGCTGGTCAACATGGTAAGACCCGGTCTCTACTACAAAAAATTAGCTGGGCGTGGTGGTGCACGCCTATAATCCCAGCTACTAGGGAGGCGGAGGCAGGAGAATCGCTTGAACCTGGGAGGTGGAGGTTGCAGTGAGCCGAGATCATGCCACTGCACTCCAGCCTAGGTGACAGAGAGAGACTCTGTCTCAAAAAAAAAAACCAACAAACAACAACAACAACAAAACATTAAAAAAGCCAGGCGCGGTGGCTCAGGCCTGTACTCCCAGCACTTTGGGAGGCCGAGGCGGGTGGGTCACCTGAGGTCAGGAGTTCGAGACCAGGCTGGCCACATGGCGAGATCCCGTCTCTTCTACAAAAAATTAGCCAGGCTTGCGCCTGTAATCCCAGCTACTAGGGAGGTTGAGGTGGGAGAATCGCTTGAACCCAGGAGGCAGAGGTTGCAGTGAGCCGAGATTGCACCACTGCACTCCAGCCTGGGTGACAGAGTGAGATGCTGTCTCAAAAAAAAAAAAAAAGAAAGAAAAGAAAAAAAGCAGTGCATTAATTTTACATAGTATGATATGTGGGCAAGTGGAGCAGGGAAAGGGGTGTCAGGAGTAGAGGGGACAGTGATGGAGGGGCAGGCCCCTCTGAGAAGGTGGCATATGCATGAAGACCTGAAGTTGCACAGGCAGTTGGACATTTGGGTATCTGGGGAAGAACATTCCAGACAGAAGGAACAACCGTGCAGAGGCTCCAGGTGGGAGCGTGGCCGGAGCGTTCTGAGGACAGCCAGGAGGCCAGTGCAGCTGGGACAGAATGAGCGAGGGGGACAGAGAGGAAGAGATTCGAGGGACCACCAGATGGTCCCTGTGGCGACATGGGCTCGTACTCCAAGGGCAGTGGGGCTGCGAGGGTTTCAGCAGAGCAGAGATGTGCCCTGATCTCTGTGTTCACAGGATTGCTGTCTACTCTGTTGAGAATGGCCTGAGGGGGTCAAAGCAGAAGCTGGGAGGCCAGGAAGGAGGCCCCTGAGGTATTTCAGAGGAGAGGCAATGGCGGGGGCCAGGGAGCTGGGGGTGGCCTGGCAGGCCACAGTGGCAGTGGTGAGAAGTACACAGTTTCCTGGTTGGGTTTGGTTTTCCTTTTTTAAAATTACGTTTTTGACAGCTTCTCTTAGGTACAGTTGACATACAATAAACTGCACATATTGAAAAGGTGCACTTGGATGAGTTTTGACACATGTATGCATCACACATGAAACTCTATCACCACAATCAAGTAAACAAGTACATCTACCGTCCCCAAACTTTCCTCTTGCCCCTTTGTCATCCCTCCCTTCACCCCACCCTCTCCCTAGGCAACCACGTGCAGTCACTGTAGATTAATCTGTATTTTCTAGAATTTTATCTAAATGGAATCATACAGAAGGTACTCGTTTTTGTGTGTGGTCTGGCTTCTGTCACTCAGCATAATTGTTTTGAGATTTATCCATGTTGTTGTGTGTATCTGTAGTTTATCCTTTTTATTACAGAAGAATATGTCATTGTATGGCTAGACCATAATTTGTTTATCCCTTCACCTGTTGATAGACATTTGGGTTGTTTCCAGATTTGGGCTATTACAAATAAAGCTCCTATGAACATTCATGTACAAGTTGTGTGGACATATGCTTTCATTTCTTGTAGATAAATAGCCATGAGTGGAATGTCTGGGTCATGAGGTATGTATATTTAACTTTTAAAGAAATGATCAAGTCTGGGCGTGGTGGCTTATGCCTGTAATCCCAGCACTTTGAGAGGCTGAGGTGAGAGGATTACTTGGATCCAGAAGTTCAAGGCCAGCCTGGACAACATAGCAAGACTCCATCTCTATTAAAAGTAAAAATATTAACTAGATATTGCAGTGCACACCTGTAGTCCCAGCTACTCGGGAGGCTGAGGTGGGAGGATTGATTGAACGCAGGAGTTTGAGGTTGCAGTGAGCTATGATTGCAGCACTGCACTCCAGCCTGGGCAACTGAGCAAGGCCTTGTCAAAAAAAAAATAAAGGAAAAGAAAGAGAGGAGAGAGAGAGAGACAGAGAGAGAGAGAGAAAGGATCAAACTGTTTTCCAAATTAGCTGTACCATTTCACATTTCCAGCAGCGAGGTTTCAGAGTTCCAGTTCCTTCACCCTGAACAACACCTAGTCTGATCAGTTTTTAAAATTTTAGCCATTCTAATAAATATGTATATGTAATAAATATGTAGTAATAATTCCTTGTGTTTTTTTTTTTTTTTTTTTTTTTTTTTGCTTTGAGAGGGAGTCTTGCTGTGTCACCCAGGCTGGAGTGCAGTGGCGCGATCTCGGCTCACTGCAACCTCCGCCTCCCAGGTTCAAGCAATTCTCCTGCCTCAGCCTCCCAAGCAGCTGGAATTACAGGAGCACCCCACCACGACCAGCTAATTTTTGTATTTTTATTAGAGACGGGGTTTCGCCATGCAGGCCAGGCTGGTCTCGAACTCCTGACTTCAGGTGATCCGCCTGTCTTGGCCTCCCAAAGTGCTGGGATAACAGGCGTGAGCCACTGCACCCAGCCTTAATGGTGTCTTTTGAAGAGCGAAAGTTTTGAATTTTGAGGAAGTATAAGTTATCAATTGTTTTCTTTTATGAGTTGTGCATTTCATGTCGTATCTAGGAAATCTTTGCCTAAGTTCCCAAATTCTATCTCCTATATTTTCTTCTAAAAGTTTTATAGTTTTATATTTAACATTTGGGGCTATGATCTGTTTCTTTCTTTTTGAGACAGGGTCTTGTTTTGTTACTCAGGCTGGAGTGCAGTGGAATGATCACAGCTCACTACAGCCTCCATCTCCCAGGCTCAAGTGATCCTCCCACCTCAGCCTCCCGAGTAGCTGGGACTATAGGCATTCGCACCATGCCTAGCTAATTTTTGTATTTTTTTTTTGTAGAGGCAAGGTTTTGCCATATTGCCCAGGCTGGTCTTGAACTCCTGGGATCAAGTAATCCACCTGCTTTGGCCTCCCAAAGTGCTAGGATTACAGGTGTGAGCCACGGCACCCAGCCTTGTGATCTGTTTCGAATTAATTTTTAAAAATATGTTGTCAGATAAAGGTTATGGTTCTTTTTTTTTTTTTTTACACTTGCTTATTCAATTGTTTGAGTGCTATTTATTGAAAAGACTGTTCTTTCCCTATTGACTTGTCTCTTACACCTTAGTTGAAAATCAATTGACCACATGTGTGGGTCTATTCTTGGGCTTTCTATTTTTCCACTGATGTATGCCTTTATGTCAATGCTACATTGACTTGATTATTATAGGCTTGTAAATCTTGAGATCAAGTAGTACAAGTCCTCCAATTCTGTTCTTCTTTTCAAAATTCCTGTACTAGTCTGGATCCTTTGTGTTTCCATATAAATTTCAAAATCAGCTTGTTAATTTCTTCAAAAAAAGCTTGCTGGCATTTTTTTTTTTCTTTACTGGGATTGAATTAAATCTATAGGACAATGTGGGGAGAATTGATATCTCAGCAATGTTTAGTTTTTTTGATCCATGAATGTGGCATAGCTCTGCATTTAGTTATGTCTTCCTTAATTTCTTTCAGCAACATTTATTTATTTAAAATTTTATTTCTTTTTTCAGCATAATAAAGCACCAAGCAATCAGTAATATTTTATAAGTTTCATGTAGAGGTCTTCACATATTTTGTTAAATTTATCCCTAAGTATTTTATATTTTTATACTTTTTTTTTTTTTTTTTGAGACAGAGTCTTGCTCTGTCGCCTAGGCTGGAGTGCAGTGGCACAATGTTGGCTCACTGCAACCTCCACCTCCTGGGTTCAAGCGATTCTTGTGCCTCAGCCTCCCCAGTAGCTCGTATTACAGATACCCACCACCATGCCCAGCTAATTTTTGTATTTTTAGTAGAGAGAGGGTTTTGCCATATTGGCCAGGCTGGTCTCGAACTCCTGGCCTCAAGTGATCCTCCTGCCTTGGCCTCCCAAAGTGCTGGGTCTACAGGTGTAAGCCACCGCACCTGGCCTGTTTTTACTTTTTAGTTTGAAATAATTTTAGATTTACAGAAGCGTTGCCAAGGCAGTACAAAAAATTCCCGTATATCCTTTACCCAGCTTCCTCTATGTTAAGATTTTACATAACTATGATACACTTACTGAGAAATTAACATTGGTAAAATACTATAACAGAAGTACAGTCTTTATTCAGATTTCCTCAGTTTTCCCATTAATGTCGTTGTTGTTGTTGTTGTCGTTGTTCCAGGATCCAAGCCGGAATCCCACGTTACGTTTACTCACCATATCTCCCAGGTCTCCCCCTAACTGTTGACAGTTTCTCTATTCTCCTTCCTGTGTTTCATGACCTTGACATTTTTGAAGCGTACAAGTCAGGCATTTTGTACCATGTCCCTCAACTTGTTTTTTTCTGGTGTTTTTTCAAATGAGGGTGTGGATTTTGGGGAAGAACACCACAGAGGTGATTGCCCTATCATCACGTCATTGCAGGGCGTACATGATATTGATATGTCTTATTCATGGTGATGTCAGCCAGACCTCTGAGTTAAGATGGTGTCTGCTCCACTGTAAAAACAGCTGTCTTCATATTCTGTCCATCAGAAGTGAGTCACTAAGTCCAGTTCTCACTCAAGGAGATGGAAATGAAGCTGCACCTCCTGCCCCACAGAACTTATTCTAGCACTCCCTCATTGCTTAGTTATGACTTCCTTCCCTTCCTTCCCTTCCTTCCCTTCCTTCCCTTCCTTCCCTTCCTTCCCTTCCTTTCTTTTCTTTCTTCTTTCTTTTTCTTTTTTTCATATAGATTCTCACTGTCGTCCAGGCTGGAGTGCAGTGGCATGATCTTGGTTCACTGCAACCTCTGCCTCCCGGTTTCAAGTGATTCTACTGCCTCAGCTTCCTGAGTAGCTGGGATTACAGGCACATGCCACCATGCCTGGCTAATTTTTGTATTTTTAGTAGAGGCGGGGTTTCATCATGTTGGCCAGGCTGATCTCGAACTCCTGACCTCAGGTGATCCACCCACCTTGGCCTCCCAGAGTGCTGGGATCACAGGCGTGAGCCACTACGCCCGGTCAGTTGTGACTTCTTTCTTAAGCAGAGAGAAATCTTGCTATCATTGTCTATAGCATATTTACCTATCTGTTCAAACTCTGTGTACATGTAAAATGGTCTCAGAATTCCTAACTTATACCCTTGTCAAAAACAAATTTACTAGCTAGCATACAGTGTTTGTGTATAGTTCTTTTTGTCTTTAGCTGTACAGTATCTAGTAAAAACACCATTACACAAAGTTATTTAGGTCACCTCATTCTCTCTCCACATTCTTCTGTTTCATTCTGACATATTTATAATACAAATTTATCCCCAAGTTATCCCTAAAAATTTCATGTTTTGTGATGTGGTTTTAAATATTTTAAAAAGTAATTTCTAGTTGTTTGTTGCTTGCATATAGAAATATAATTGACTTGTGGCCAGGCGCGGTGGCTTACGCCTGTAATCCCAGCACTTTGGGAGGCTGAGGCGGGCGGATCACCTGAGGTTGGGAGTTCAAGACCAGCTTGACCAACATGGAGAAACCCCGTCTCTACTAAAAATACAAAATTAGCCGGGCATGATGGCGCATGCCTGTAATCCCAGCTACTCGGGAGGCTGAGGCTGGAGAATGGCTTGAACCTGGGAGGTGGAGGTTGCTGTGGGCAGATATCACGCCATTGCACTCCAGCCTGGGCAACAAGAGTGAAACTCTGTCTCAAAAAAAAAAAAAAAAAAAGAAAAAAGAAATATAATTGACTTGTATTCACCTTCTATCTTGCAACCTTGCTAAACTCATGTATAATAGATGTTTTGTAGATTACTTAGGATTTTCTATATAGATGATTATGTTGTTTGTGAATAAAGACAGTATTGCTTCTTCCTTTCCACTCTGTATGCCTTTTATTTCATTTTCTTGCCTTATTGCTCTGGCTAGGACTTATTTTTTTTATTTTTTTTTTTTTGAGACAGAGTCTCCCTCTTTTTGCCCAGGCTGGAGTGCAGTGGTGCTATCTCGGCTCATCACAACTTCTGCCTCCTGGGTTCAAGTGATTATCCTGCCTCAGTCTCCTGAGTAGCTGGGATTACAGGCGCCCACCACCACGCCCGGCTAATTTTTTTTTTTTTTTGAGACGGAGACTCAGTGTGGCACGATCTCGGCTCACTGTAACCACTGCCTCCCGGGTTCAAGTGATTCTTCTGCCTCAGCCTCCCAAGTAGCTGGGACTACAGGACCATGCCCAGCTAATTTTTGTATTTTTATTGGAGATGGGGTTTCACCATGTTGGCCAGGATGGTCTCAATCTCTTGACCTCGTGATCTATCTGCCTCGGCCTCCCAAAGTGCTGGGGTTACAGGTGTGAGCCACTGGGCCTGGCTCACACCTGTATTTGTATTTTTGTATTTTTTTTTTTTTTTTTTTGAGATGGAGTCTTGCTCTGTCGCCCAGGCTGGAGTGCAGTGGCGCGATCTTGGCTAACTGCAAGCTCTGCCTCCTGGGTTCACGCCATTCTCCCACCTCAGCTTCCCAAGTAGCTGGGATTACAGGTGTCCGCCACCACGCCCGGCTAATTTTTGTATTTTTAATAGAGACGAGGTTTCACCATGTTGATCAGGCTGGTCTCAAACTCCTGACCTTGAGATCCACCCGCCTCAGCCTCCCAAAGTGCTAGGATTACAGGCATGAGCCACCGCACCCGGCCTCTGGCTAGGACTTCTAATACAGTGTTGAACAGAAGTGAGATTGGATATTCTTGGTGTGCTTTGAAGGTAGAGCTGACAGGATTTCCTCAAGCACTGGAGTGTTAGTGATTACTATGAAAGTCAAACTTCTATTGGAGAAAGAGTTGGTGCCCATGGAAGGGGCCTGAGGCTCCAGCTGAGGTGGTGGGGATGGTTTGTGGGGAGCAGACAGGCTCAGGGTGTTGTCAGGAGCCCCTGCTTGGCAGAGGTGAGAGGTGGGTGAACAGGAGACTTTCCCATGTGTCTTCCTTCGTCTAGTTTGAGCTTGAACCTGAAGGAACTAACTGGACTCGATGTGATCTGGGGGAAGGAAGACAGGCTGAGACCTGTTTTGGGATCAACTCTGGAATAGCTCCTTGAGCACTCCTCTCTCCCTCAATCCCAGATTTCTGCTTTTGGGTCCCCCATCCAAAGTAGTTGAATAGGCAGGAAAGATTCCTGGATTTGGAGTTAGGAGCCCTGGGTTGGAATCCCGGCTCTGTAAATGCAGCTATGTGACCTGAGAGGTGTCCCAGCCTCAGCTGCCCCCTCTGTGGGGGCCATGATAGAAAGACAGGGGAGTTATGAGAATCCATGATAGCAACAACACCACCACCAACAGCAGCCACACCTGTCTAACCTTAACCATGTGCCACGCTGTGTTCTAGGTACCTTATTTTTGTTTGTTTACTTAACTTCCCAAGTTTCTGTGAGATAGGTATTATTATTATCCTCATTTTACTGATGGAGCAGTGGGAAAGGACCCCAGGTCTCATAAGTGGCGGTGGGGGTGCATCTGAGTCTCGGCCTCTGCTGGTACTGCCCATTGTGCTTTTGCTTGTGTGGCCTCCTCTGCTCAAGCATCCACCCCTCCTGGAACTCTCCCCCGATGGTCTTCCCTACTCTCTAGCCCACACCAGCAGTGTCAGGCCCACTGCCCTAGGCTCCTACATACTCATCCTCTATGTTCCCTTCACATTAGGGGTTATGTCTTGCTCAGCCTTACACCCCCTGCGTCTGGCCAGGGACTCAGCACCCACTGGGGCATCAGCGAATCTGTTTTGCCCTGAAAGGCACAGCTGGGCCAAAGCCTGGGGTCATCATCATGTAGACCCAAAGTGGGCTCTGACCACACCCTTGGGGGTCATTTCAGAAGGCCTCCTCCAATGAGGCATTACTCTGGACAAAGCCCCGGCCCAAAGGCATTTGGGAGCCTGCTCCTCCCTCTGTACCTCCACCAGCCGTCCCTGGGATGCTCCAGGAAGTGCTGCGCTTGACACACGCCCCCATCCGCCACCTCCCAGAGAAGGGACCATTGTGTCCGAAGGGTTAACGAGGGATGTGAGGAAGGGGCCCTTTAGCCATGATGCCCTCTGACCTTTCATAAATCAGAGGGGCTTAGGGGCGAGGGGGCTGCTTGGCAGGACTTGGTGGGGTGGGGGCTTAGAAGCAGCTGCGCGCGACGTTGACATTGTTCCCACCATTCTAAGTGCAACAAATCCCTCTATTGTGTTCCTGGTTTATCTGGTTCCTCTTGTTTATGAGCAGGGCTCCTTTGGCAGCGGTTCCAGCCCTGGGCGGGTGGAAAGAGTGCTGGCACGCACCGCGGGGGGAGGGGGCGGGAGGGGGCCGCCGTCAATGCCCGCATTGTCCCCGCGCTTTTTGTTTCTACTGTAATGACATGTTGGAATAGAGAGAGAGAGAGAAGGAAAAAAAAAAAGATACAAGCTGGGGAGGGAAGAGGAGGGCAGAAAAGAAAGAGCAGAGCAAGGGCCTGGTGTGGATTGATGTCTGGGCCTGGGCGGATGTGCCGGCAGCTGGGCGGCCGGGAGAGATGGAGCCAGGCCGGGGTGCCGGGGGGCAGCGCAAGGGGCCAGCCAGCCCCCCACCCCAGCCTCTGCTGCCTGGCACCAGGTCCCCCCACCACTCTCCAGCCCTCCTGAGGCAGCTGTGGGGCCGTGCCTGAGCGGGGCACGTGCCAGGGTCTGGGGTCTGCATCCTCATGTGCCCTGGGCTTGCTGTGCCACCCAAGGCAGCCTCTCTAGGTCTGGGTGCCTAAAGCCTGCAAAACTGGTGTGCTGGGGAAGAAAGGCTCCTCTGGGGGTTTTGGAAATGATGACGTGCCCTTCCTAGTCCTGGGTCTGTGCGTCTGAGCCTCGGGTGGAATAGGGGGCTCACACTAGGACAGAAAACCCTGAACTGCCCCCAGAGTGATCATGCTCAATGTCAGCTTGGCTCTTGGGGGTCTGTCTCCCAGCTGGGCCTGGTCCAGATGCGGGGGCAGGAGCTGAAAAAGAACCTCAGTAGGGGAAGGTGGGCCCTGGTACCACCTGGTTCTGCCAAGGGCTCCCAAGTTGTTCGCCATCTCTGGGCCTGTGGGTGTCTCCCTCTTCAGGTAATGGGCTGTAGGGTCCTTCCAGATCTGGCAGTCTGGGCTGTATCTAGGGCTATGTCCAGGTTGTAGGGAAGAGCTCAGAGCACCTGAATGGGTCATGCAGTCCCGTCAGCATCTCAGGGCTGGAGGGGCCCTCTGAGGCTGTGGCCTCTCCCTGCAACTTCCTGTAGGTCTCTCTGTAGCACCAGCCAAGAAGTCACCCGCCCCCGCTGGCACAGCTCCAGTGACATGGAGCTCACTCCTCACATGGCTTGCTCTGTCCTTGCCCAGCCCAGGCGTTTGGGAAGTTCTTTCTGAACTCTGTCTCCCTGCAGCTTCTACCCTTTGGTTCCAGTTCTACTCATTGGAACCATATGGAACAAGTTAAGCCTCCCTGAGAATTGGTTTCCTCACTTGTAAAATGGGCATGATTGTCCCTGCCCTCCTGCCACATAACAGAGGCTATAATGTGGGCCCTATAACGTGGCCATAAGGTGGAACGTTATCCAGATCCTCCTGGGCTTCAGCTAGGAATTTCTGTCCTGGGAAACCAGTGGGGACCATCCCTTATATGACGGAGGGCAGAGTTTGCTGAGAGGATTGGCTTAGAGTGGGGACTCAGGCTATAGCCAGGGCAAGGGCTCAGGCTGTGATCGAAACCAGGGCTCATCTGTGAACTTTCGTTCATTCTGGGAGAGGGCGAAGGCTCAGTCTGAAGTCAAGATCAGGGCTTAGGCTTGAGCCAGGTTAAGGGTTCGGTGTAGGGTTAGGATCAGGGCTATGTAGGATTTGGAACAGGGCTCAGTTTATAGACAGAGTCAGAGATAGGGTAAGCGTTCATTCTGGACTTAGGATAATGGTTCACTCTGGGGTCTGCAGAGTAAATATTCATTTTTGGTTTCAGGATCAGGGTCCAGTTTGTGACCAAGATCAAGGCTCATAAGTGTCATTTTAGATTTAGAATCGAGCTGAAGGAGGGGTCAGGGTCAGGGTCAGGCCTCAGGCTTAGGGTGGGGTCAAGGCCTCAGGCTATCACCGAATTCTGATGGACAATCTCTAACTAGTGTCATGGCTCCATCTGGGGCTGGGCTGGGGTCAGGACTCCGTCTGAGGCTGTGTTTTGACTGTGAGGTGGCCCAGGCTGGGCTGACTCCTGAATGTGCAGTTTTTGCATCTTCTCCCTGCTGAGAGTCCACCAAAGTTTTCTATGGTAGACCCCAGTCTCTGGAAGTTATCACCAGAGCAGGCAGCACCAGGATGTGCTGGTAGGTTCAGCAGTGGGGAGATGAGGCCAGATGCAGGAGGGTGTCCTCTCTCCAGGCAGCCCATGGGAGGAGGCCAGTGTGTGGTGCGGGAGAGCTGGGGAGGCTGGGGTCAGATTCAGGGAAGAGATTGGCCTCTGGAGGGCCAGGATGGCTCGGGCACATGAAATCCCCCCGTCTCCAGGGAGAACCAGGCCATTGGCCTCAGGATTTCCAGAAGATCCTGGGGATGCTTTGGGGCTGGGAAACATGGCTAATGTGGAGAAGAGTGAGCCGTGGAGGGAGGGGGTGGAAGAGGTTGGACCAAGAGAGAAGGAGGTGTGGGGGCACCTGGGCCTTTCCCTGTGCACGTGGCTGTGTGTCGGTGGACTGGGAAGGTGTGCATGTGTGTGGGTGTCTGTGTTGGAGTGATGGGGACTTGACACATGTTTGGGGCACAGTGTGGCTGTGGGCGGGGTCAGAGTAGGGGTAAGATGACACCCTCCACATCCCCCATTCCTAAGCTGCTGGTGCCGCTTCTTCAGCCCCCGGGCTTGACATTCCCCAAGGGTCCCGGCCATCCCCACATGACTGGCATCTGTGCCCTGGGCAACCATCAGCTGAGAGCCCGTGACTACTGCCCAGCAGCTGGAGACACTCCAGGAGCAGCCCGCCCTGGAGCAGTCCGTGGCCTCACAAGGACCTCCTTGGGGGTGGTTGGGGAGTGAACCCCTCAGGTGACAGATGTGGTCATGACCCCGTGGATCACACCTACCCTCCCTGATCCCCCAAGCACGCCCTGAAAATGGCCCGGTTCACAGGAATCTGCCCAGGAAATAGATCTGCCCAAGGCAGAGAGAGGGAGGGCGGACATGGTGGGGGGGCACCAGGAAAATCAGGCCGTTGTCTGGAAGAAGGTGGCATTCCCTCCTCACGTGGGCGGGGCCCACAGCAGTCCAAGTCTTCCCTGGCCTCTTAAGAAGTCTAGTGGGGCTGGGCATGGTGGCTTACGCCTGTACTCTCCCAGCACTTTGGGAGATGGAGGCAGGTGGATCACCTGAGGTTAGGAGTTCGAGACCAGCCTGACCAACATGGTGAAACCCCATCTCTACTAAAAATACAAAATTAGTGGGGCTTGGTGGCGCATGCCTGTAATCCCAGCTACTCGGGAGGCTGAGGCAGAAGAATCACTTGAACCCGGGAGGCAGAGGTTGCGGTGAGCCGAGATCGTGCTATTGCACTCCAGCCTGGGCAACAAGAGCAAAACTCTGTCTAAAAAAAAAAGAAAAAACAAAACAAAAATAAAACAGAAGTCCAGGTCCAGGTGGGCCGGCCGTGGTGGCTCATACCTATAATCCCGGCACTTTGGAAGGCTGAGGTGGGAGGATTGCTTGAGTCCAGGAGTTCGAGATCAGCCTGGGCAACACAGCGAGACCTTGTCTCTGCTAAATACACACACACATATATACACACACACACACACACACACACACACATACATATATATATACACATATATATACATATTTAAAAAAAATTTTTTTAGATGGAGTCTCATATTGTCTCTCAGGCTGGAGAGCAGTGGTGCAACCTTGGCTCACTGCAACCTCCTCCTCCCGGATTCAAGCAATTCTCCTCCTTCAGCTTCCTGAGTAGCTGGGATTACAGGTGTGCACCACCACACCTGGCTAATTTTTTTTTTTTTTTTTTTGTATTTTTAGTAGGGACGGCGTTTCACCACATTGGCCAGGCTGGTCTCAAACTCCTGGTCCTGCCGGCCTCGGCCTCCCAAAGTGCTGGGATTACAGGCATAAGCCACCATGCCCGGCCTCTACTAAAAATTAAAAGAAAATTTAGCTAAGTGTGGTGATGCACACCTGTAGTCCCAGCTACTTGGGAGGCTGAGGTGGGAGGCTTGCTTGAGCCCAGGGGATCAAGACTGCAGTGAGCTATAATCATGCCACTGCACTCTAGCCTGGGCAATAGAGTGAGACTGTCTAAAAAAAAAACACCAAAACACAAAGAAGTCGGGTGGGATCAGAAGGTTTCCTGCCACCTTTTCCCCTCCACCTCCACCCCCTCTCGTTGCCATGGTTTTCTTGGTTCTTCTGTGCTGTAACCATCCAGGGTCAGCTGCACATTCACTTACTTGCAATCAGGGTCATGATTGGGTATTAGGGCTAGGAGGGATCTGAGCTGCCTCCCAGTCCCACACTTGTGTGTGCTGCCTGGTGTGAGGCTCTTTTGCGGTTACTCCTGTCCCTTTGCTCATGGCCACTGGCTGGGCCTCTACTGTGTACCAGGCCCTCAGCAAAGCATCCAGGGCACAGAGGAGAGTCCCACGTGGACCTTTCCTGGGGCGCACACTGCTTCTGAGGGGAAGACAGCCAGCAAGGGAAGGCCCAGGCTGAGGGAGTGCCTGGCTGGGGAAGGCACCAGGAAAGGCTTCCTGGAGTTGCTGACCTTGAACCAAGGCTTATAGGTGAGGAGGAATTGGCCAGGGACGGTGCGTATGTGTTGAGGTTGGTGAGGGTAGCCCAGAATTTGCTGGTAGAGAGGGAACTTGGCCATGGGGCTGCCTTTGCCAAGCTCTTCCTTGTGGTTTGATAAGAAAAACTCTGGTGGGTAATAGCATCTGTCTCTTGGGGGTGAAGTGAGAATGACAGAATCTAATTTCTCCCATCTGTTAAAGGAGGCCACAAGACTTCAGTACTCCAATGATCTAAGCAGCTGTCCCTGACCTTTTTCTTTTTTGAGCCCAGGTTGGAGTACAGTGACGCGATCATGGCTCTCTGCAGCCTCGACCTCCCAGGCTCAGGTGATGCTCTCACCTTAGCCTCTCAAGTAGCTGGGATTACAGGCACGCGCCACCATGCCCAGTTACTTTTTATATTTTTAATAGAGATGGGGTTTCACCATGTTGGCCAGGGTGGTCTCAAACTCCTGGGCTTAAGTGATCCTCACGCCTCAGCCTCCCAAAGTACCGGGATTACAGGCGTGAGCCACTGCACCTGGCCAACCTTGTTGATTATGCGTCCTTCTCAGTAAAAATGTGGGGCACAGAGTCCCAGAATATGGACAGATATTCCTCATTTGAAAAATCTATTTGGGGCCGGGCGCAGTAGCTCACGTCTGTAATCCCAGTACTTTGGGGCCCAAGGCGGGCAGATCACTTGAGGTCAGGCATTCGAGATCAGCCTGGCCAACATGGTGAAACCCCATCTCTACTAAAAATACAAAAATTAGCCAGGCTTGGTGGTGGACGCCTGTAATCCCAGCTACTCAGGAGGCTGAGGCAGGAGGATCACTTGAACCCGGGATGTGGAGGTTGCATTGAGCTGAGATCGTGCCACTGCACTCCAGCCTGGGTGACAGAGGGATACTGTCTCAAAAAAAAAAAAAAAATTCATTTGCCTCCTGAGTTTGGATAGTATGAATCAGATGCATTTGAGTATTGAAGCCATTATTAAATATATTTGGGTCCTGAGTTTTGGATAGTGGAGTATATCTCACATAATTTCTAAGAATCTGGCTGGGCATGGTGGCTCACACCTGTAATCCCAGAACTTTGGGAGGCCGAGGCGGGCGGATCACCTGAGGTCAGGAGTTCGAGACCAGCCTGACCAACATGGTGAAACCCTGTCTCTACTAAAAATACAAAATTAGCTGGGTGTGGTGCCACATGCCTGTAATCCCAGGTGCTCAGAAGGCTGAGGTGGGAGAATTGCTTGAACCCAGGAGGCAGAGGTTGCAGTGACCCGAGATTGCGTCACTGCACTCCAGCCTGGGCAACAAGAGTGAAACGCTGTCTCAAAAAAAAAAAAAAAAAAAAGAAAGAAAGACAGAAAAGAATCTATTTAGTTCCTAAGTAAGATCTCAAGGCATTATCTGTTTATTTATTTCTAAGTTATATACATGTTTTACTATGCTCAACATGCACAAAGTAGAAGTTTTAAAAGAATGAGAGTAAAAATAAAAAAAGAAATAAGTGGGCCAGATGAGGTGGCTCATGCCTGTAATCCCAGCACTTTGGGAGGCTGAGGCAGGAGAATCACTTGAGGCCAGGAGTTCAAGACCAGCCTGGCCAACATAGCGAAACCCTGTCTCTACTAAAAATACAAGAAATTAGCCGGGCATGGTGGGCACCTGTAATCCCAGCTACTCGGGAGGCTGAGGCAGGGGGATCGCTTGAACCCAGGGTGCGGAGGTTGCAGTGAGCCAAGATCGTGCCATTGCACTCCAGCCTGGGCGACAAGAACAAGACTCTGTCTCTGAAGAAACAAACAGACAAAAAAACAAACAAAGAAACAGAAATAAGCATTGAGATTCTCCTTCTGTGCTCCACTGGGTTATTTTGTGTTCCCCTTGGGGTGTCCCAGCCGTCTCTGAAGACTCCTGGGCTGTGATAGGGACTGGGAGGAGGGTGCCTCCAGAGTGGTTTTCCCAGACAGCAGTGGGGTCTGGCAGGGGACCTAGTCATAGAAGGCATTTGTTTATCAGCACACGTCACTGTGCACCCATCTCACCTACACGTGGCGCTGGGACACTGGGGAGAAGAGATCCAGCATCTGCTTGAAGGACGTCAGTGATGTCTGCTTGTCTTCTGTTATCAACAGGCTACAAGGCCTGAAAACTGTTTCTTAAAATCTATGAAAAGGTCTTCCTCATCAAACTGTAAGGGACTCGTGCCTTTTTTTTTTCCAATAAGTTTGTGTGTGTGGTAAAATATATGTAGCCTAAAATTTCCCATATTAACTATATTATTGAGTGTACAGTTTCGTGGCACTAGGTGCATTCATATTGTGGTGCATCCATTACCACTATCCATCCACAGAACTTTTTCATCTTCCCGAACTGAAACTGTATGCCCATTAAACACTAACTCCCTTAGCTCCAGCCCCTGGAGATCCCCATTCTTCTGTCTCTATGATTTTTGCTTTTTTTTCTTTTTGGGATGGAGTCTGGCTCTGTCACCCAGTCTGGAGTGCAGTGGCACGATCTTGGCTCACTGCAACCTCTGCCTCCCGGGTTCAAGTGATTCCCCTGCCTCAGCCTCCCGAGAAGCTGGGATTACAGGTGCGCACCACCACGCCTGGCTAATTTTTTTTTTTTTTTTTTTTGATACGGATTCTCACTGCGTTGCCCAGGCTGGAGTGCAATGGCATGATCTCAGCTCACTGCAACCTCCTCCTCCTGGGTTCCAGCAATTCTCCTGCCTCAGCCTCCCGAGTAGCTGGAATTATAGGTGCCTGCCACCATGCCCGGTTAATTTTTTGTATTTTTAGTAGAGACGGGGGTTTCACCATGTTGGTCAGGCTGGTCTCGAACTCCTGACCTCAGGTGATCCATCCACCTTGGCCTCCCAAAGTGCTGGGATTACAGGCATGAGCCACAGCGCCTGGCCCTGTCTCTATGATTTTGACTACTCTGGGGACCTCAGAAAAATGGAATCATATAATATTTGTTCTTTTATTTCTAGTTTATTTCACTTAGCATAATGTCTTCAAGTTTCATCTATCTTGTGGCGTGTGTCAGAATTTTCTTTTTATGGCTGAATAATAAATTATATGGATATAACACATTTTGTTTATTCATTTATTGATGGACATTTGGGTTGTTTCTACTTTGGGCTATTACGAATGATGCTGCTATGAATACGTGTGGTCACATTATCTGTTTGAGTCCCTGCTTTCAATTCTTGGTGACTTTTATAGCGAGAATTCTTTGACAAGTTTTCCTTGGTTTTCGGTCTTAGGGATCACGGTTTTGTAAGCTACAGCATGCTGAGAGGACTGTAACAGATGTTTGTGGGGGCACAAGACATTATGGGGGTGCAGGAGGGCAGGGGCAGGGACAAACATGGGAAGGACGGACACTTGGTGCTGACTGAGAATGCCCCAGGCAGACCAGGTCTGGGAGGTGGGGGTGCAATCCATGCAGGTGCGGAGGGTCAAGGGAAGGTGGTGCATCTGAGGGCATGATTTGAGAGTGTGATTTGGTCTGGCCGAAGTGCAGGGAACCAAGGAGGCTGGCAGTGGGAGAGGACTGGGCAGAGTGGCTCAGAGACTCTGCCTGCTCCTACAGTGTAGGCAGGACCCTGGAGGGGTCGTGCAGGGTGCTGTGGACCATGCAGAGGAGTCCACGGAGGGAAGAGGAAGTCATGGAGATTCTTAGTAGTGGAGGGGAGGGTCTTGCTTCACCCCAGGGGCTGGCTCAACCATTGGTGCCACCTTGCACCAGGGATGCCTGGAATGTCAGGGAAGCCAGGTGGAGCCAAGGCCTCCACCCCACAGCAGGTTTCTCCTTTCTTGGCGTTTCCGGGCCTCTTGGAGGTCCCTTCTGTCTCCTGGTGTCCTGGTCCCTCCAGCCACTCAAGAGGACATTCCCTAGGCAGCTTGGCCTGTTCATATATTTGACCATTTCAGGGCTTAGCTCAGTCTCCCTCCCAAGAGATGTTCCCAAATATGGTCCCTTCACGGTGACACATGTGCACTCACTTGCTCACACACACACACAGGCACTCATGTACTCCCACAACACACAAACACACACAGATGCACTTGCAATCACAGCACACATGCACGTACACACATGCAATTATACACACAATCACAACGTACACACACACACGCACAGTCATACACAATCACAATACACATGCATACACATGCCCACAACTCACAGATACACATGTGCACACACTGATTCATATACACACACGTACTCAAAGATACGATCACAAACACACATTCACACTCACAGTCCCAACATTCACAAATTCCCTGATCGTCCCCCTCGTTTGCCTGTCCACGCCCTTCTCCCATCTCTCTCATTTCCAGACTTCTCTGGGGGCTGGAATACACAGTGCTGAGACCCTCCTACGCACTGGCCCACAGCCTAGGCTCTTTCAGCATCTCCTCCCGCTGACTTCTCCCGACAGTCCTGCTGGGTGGATATCATCACCCCATTGTACAGATGCATAAACTGAGCCCAGGTTGCTGATGGTCTCACCCGAGCTGAACACAGGATCCAGGGCACTCAATCTGCACCCTCTTTTGGGCACTTTTCATGGCCAGCATGGTGTTTCCTATGTATGAAACTCACTTCACCAAGTTGACATCCTCCCCAGGGCTGGGACCGTCTCTTCTCCCTCCTGTCTTCTACATGGGATGGACTCAGGAGCGCTCAACAGATGCTCTGAAATCAATGACTCTGAATCTAGAAGTCAACCGGAGAATGTGCTCCTCAGAGGGCCCTGGAATCTTCCCCTCGTGCACTTGGGTTTCAGTTTGCTGAATAAGACGGACTCTGCTGCCTGCTCTTCAGAGAAGGTTTTGGTGGAGGACTCCCCTCAGGTGCCCCTGCCTGGATCCCCCACTGCCCCAGAAGGCTGGCCTTCAGATGCCTGGTAGGCGGGCACCAGGTTGGGGAGGAGGCTTGGTTGGTGCCTTGTCCATCCTCCTGAGCACTGAAGCCCTGAATAGGCAGCTTCTGAGCAGAACACTCAATTTCCCTCTCTTTCCCTCCTGCCCAGGGTAGCTGGCTTGCTTGACCCAAGCATGGACAAGTGAGAACAGATGAAAGAGGCCAGCAGACCCAGGACCCAGCCCTTTCTCTGCCACCAGCCAGCACTCACTCTGCTGTGTGACCTGAGACCAGGCAGACCATCTCTCTGGGTCTCAGTTTCCCCCTCTATAACACCAGGGGCTGGTCTTCATGATCCCAGGGCCCTCCCCAGCTGTGCCCATCTGCAACTGTGAGATTCTGAGAGCAGAGGAGGGAAGGCGGGATGGCCCCTCTTTCCCCACCGCCTCTCTCTGTCCCCCAGGGTCACCCCAAAGCCGCCCCCTCCCCCGGCTCCCTGGAACTTCCCTGCAGCTGCAGGCCTGGTGAGACAATTGGGTGTTTTAGAGAAATACATTTTTGGGCTAATTTGCCATGCATAAGTGTTTCTCTTACCCTTTAAAGGCGGAGAACAAAGAGGTCTTTCTGTGCCCAGGCAGGCTGCTGGGGAGGGGACGCAGCTGTACTGGGCTGGCGACCCTCCTCCCTCCCCCCATCCCTGCGAGCGCCCCACCACACCGCCCACCGCCCCCCAGAAGAGACAGCCCGGACTTTCCCAGCCTCCCCCAGTCTCCTACCCCGGCTGCCTCTGAGGCTCCTCTGGCCCTGCCTTGCCCCAGCTCCCCCTCCCAGCTGCCCCAGGCAAGAGGGAAAGTGTGTGTGGGTGGGTGGATGGACGGGGAGGGGCGTGCATGGAGAGACAGCGGCTTTCCATGTGGCCCGGGTGGCGAGGCTCACTGGATGGTGATGGCCTGCGGGATGTGTGTCCCTGTCCCTGGGGACTGTGCAGTGTGTCGTGGAGTGCGAGATGGCATAGGGTGCGGGATGACGCCAGTCCTCAGGTGACTCGTTAGCGTATGGGGGATACACGTGGTCCATTCATTCGTTCATTCATTCATCAACTAGTCTCTATTGAGTTCCTCCTACCTGCAGGCCTCAGAGTGCTCCCATGCTGGGTGAGGGGCACCTGTAGTTCTAGGAAAGCACGCTGAGTTCGTGTTCTTCTCACAGGATGTGACTGTGGGAGGGGTTGCATGGACAAAGGTGTAGAGGCGTGAAATGGAGGCGTGTCACCCATGTGGGGCAGGGGTCAAGAGCAGCTCAAGGAGGTCTCTGTCCTCTGCTCAGTGGGGGTGGTCCTGAAGCTGGTGGCTTCCGCAGCATGTCCTCCTTGGCCACAGTTCACTGTCCACAACCTTTGCCCAGGCCATTCCTTCTGCCCGGAACTCCCTCCTCTCGCTGTGCTATTCTGAGACCACATCTGGCCTCATGTGGGGCCTGTCACAGCTCCCGATCCTCCTCCATCAGAGCTTGGCCCCCAACAATCCTCATTTGCTCCTGCAGCACACCCAGAAACAAATGCTCATATGCACGTGTGCACACACACATTCCCCCGCCTCCGCCACCCCAGGCCTGTGAGCAGCCGGCTCCCTGTCTGCTCCTCCCCATCCTCATGAACTCCTCGGTGTCTTCCCCAGCACCCAGCACAGTGCGGGCTCATAGGCAAGGACACTGGACACCCCCTCCACACTTATAACAGCAGCTGCCAATGTTTATTGAGCCCTTACTGCATGCCACAGTGTGGTGGACATCAAATGCATTTAATCATAACCACCTTACAAGGTGGCGCTGTTACCCGCCACTGTATTCTAGGGAGGAAAACTGAGCTATAGAGAGGTTAGGATTTTGCTAAAGATCATCCAGCTAGCCCTTAGGGAAGGAGGCGCCACAGTCAGGGTTGTAAGCCATCGTATCTGCATCACCGAAAGTCCCTGCTCCCTGGAGCTTTCTGGGATGTCCTGGCCCACTGACCGCCCCTTTTGACATCCCGCAGCTTGTTCTGTGTGTTCCCTGACTACCTTGTGTGCATGAGAGAGAGAGACTGCGCTAGAGATGGAGGAGGTCACCACATGAGAACAGTGGGGACCTGGGTGATTTAGACAGAGACACAGAGCCAGGATTGGAGGCTGCGTGGGCTGCTTTCCTGCTGCACGGCGATGCTTTAGGGTGGGGGGTTTCAAGACTGATAAGGGATTGGGAGCCCCTTCTCACAGCCCCACATGGTCTTCCCTGGGGTCAACACACCTGGATGGCACATGGACAACTCCCTGTGCTCCAAATGTCAGTGCAGGGTGACTGATACGGGGGCTCATGACCCTCTGTGCCTGCGCATGCATCTGTGTGTGCGTGTGTGTGTGTGCGTGTGCGTACGTGTGTGTGCATGTGTGTGTGCGCATACGTGTGTGCATGTATGTGTGTGCATACGTGTGTGCATGAATGTGTGTATGTGTGTGCCTATGTGTATGCACGTGCATGTCTCTGGGTGTGCTTGGGAGATAGAGAAGAAAGCAGAAATTGGGGAGAGGACAGCGGCCACATAGCCACTGTGTCCCTCTGTGGGATGGGGAGGAAGGGGCAGCAGCAACAGCCTGTCCCGCTCCTGCACACACACCCTCTGAAGGTCTGAGTGAAATAGGCAGAGAATGGGATGTGGCTGTTTGTCCTGGGGGCTTTAGGGGACCCTCCACCCGCACTGTGATAGGCAGGCAGCTCCCAGGCCTGTCTGAACAGGAACTCTGCCAGCTCTCCAAAGGCCCTGCAAGCCCCGGCCACTCCATCACAGCTCATTGATGGGCACTTATGGGTGCTGACTGTGCACTTGGCTGGTGAGCCAGGCCTGGAGTGGGCAGGAGAGGCTTCTGAAAGGGTTTCAGAGGAGTCCACAGTCTGAGAGAAGAGAACACCCTGAAAAAGGGAGTTCAGGGGTCTGAGGAGAGACTGCTGTGGTCTGCAGGGTGAGGTGGTGCTGGTGAAGGCAGCCGAGGAAGGGGCGTCACCCACTGGAAGGCTTGCAGCTTAGGGAAGGAGACTTGAAGATTAGAGATGGATAAGGAGTGGGGCATATCACAGAATCCCAGAATAGGAGATGCAGAATGTCTTTGGAAATGACCCCGTCTAAGTCTGGCTTATCCAGAGGGGAAAACTGAGGCCCAAGGATAGTGGAGGATGACTTGGCTGACAGTGATGGAGTCATTTCAAGTTAGTTCAACAAGCACCTCCTAAGCTTGTTGGGCACCAGCCTGAGGATAAAGCCTTAAATAAGGCTCTGTCTCCTCTGGCTATGGTCTAGTGGGGTGATGGACAGACAGATAAGCACTACCCTGTGCCATGAGTGCAATGATCAGTGTGTGCAGGGCACAGGGGCAAGGGGGTAATGGAGGACTTCTAACTGGCAAGACCTCTCAATGGAGGCAGCACCTGGGATGGGTTTTGAAGGATGCAGAGGAGTTTGAGACTGACCACAGAATGAAGGGATTGGTTTCCAGGTAACCTGGATGGTTCAAGTTGGTTTCTGTTTTTGCTACCTGTGAAGCAGTGACCAGTCTGTCCTCCATTAACACCCCATCATCTGGGAGACTGCAAGCAAGCTAGGGAAGGCAGGGGATTTTGGGGTGTCTCTGTCCTGAGGCAGAGGATTGGATGCAGGGTTTCCCAGGGTCTTAGCCTTCACCAAGGCACCATCAGGTCAGTCCTGGTTGTGGAGCCTTCGTCCACGCTCCCTCCCATTCAGCCAAGAAACATTGATTGAACACCAATTGTGAATGAGCCTTGCAGGCTGGAGATGATTTCAAGAGGCAGAGTTAGGGGAAAGGCATTTTGGGAAAAGGGAATAGCGTGAGCCAAGGTGAGGCTGTTGCAGCAGCAGGAAACTAAGGAAGCAAGGGCCTTTTCCACAAGCATCATCTGTTCTTGTTTGGCTCAAGCGTGGGGGCAGCAAGGGAACAGTTAAGATGCAGCTGGGAAGATTGCCTGGGCCTGAAGCTGGGGATGGAAAACCCAGGGGAGGAGTCTGGACTTTTATTGGTGGCAAGTGGGAGATATCAATGGATTTTGAGCAAGAACGACTCCCCGAAGATCCCCAGATAGGGCTGGGAGCTTGAGAGAACCCACAAGCCCCCTGGGGAGCCAGGAGTCGGGCCCTCTGGACAGTCATGTGCTGGTAAATATGCTTCACAACCAGCTCTGTTTGTGGAGGTGGGAGACACAGAGGTAGACTGCCAATTTTCATAGTGGAAAAAGTCCCATCAGGGCAGGCTCAAAGCTTCCAAGGTAATATCAACTGGCTTCGATTCCAGAGACTTTCACAGTTGGCTCTCGGGAGCCAGTGTGCGCTGACTCCAGCGCACTGCCACACCCTGGGTTATAAACTGTATTTGCCCAAGACTGCTAGTGCTCAACCCTCCTTCTCCCCGATCATTCCCATGGTGCCCTGCAAACCGGAGCCCGAGGATAGAAAAGTACTCTGTGGTTTGTCCAAGCCCAGGGGACCGCCATGGTCTGAGACCCCAGGCCTGTGGGTCTGAGACTTAGCTCAGCTGCTTATGCACTGGGTGATTCAGGCACATCCTCACTTCTCTGGGATGACTTGCTTTGCAGGGTCACTCCCGGGATAAGAAGAGGTCATGCAGTGGGGAGGTGTGGGTGGGGGCAGGGTTGTGCTGGGAAGGCCTGGGGAGCGTGGTCAGTGGTTCCCCGGGGATCAGGAACAGGCCCTCTCCCACCCCACCCCCAGCTCAGTTGCTGGACAAATCCATCAGATCAGTCGGCTGTCACCAGTAGGGGGTGGGAAAGGCAGGGTCTGTGAAATGAGGGGCCCTGGGACAGGACGAGGGCTGGAAGAGCTGTGAGAGGCCCTGGGCAAGAGGTAAGGAAGCAGGCTACAGACCACCAGCACTTCAGACCCTGCCAATGGAAAGACGGGTCTTGGCAAGTGTCGGTGTCGCCCCCTCCCTCCTTGTCCCTTGGGAAACTCCTACTACTCTGTCAGGCCTCAGCTCCAGCACACCTCTTCCAAGACGCAGGGGTTAAGAGCGAGAGTTTGGGTGTCATTCCATCTGCAGGGCCCTGGACAATCTGCTTCATCTTTTTCAAACTCATCTGTAAAATGCGGACAGTAATACCACAGAGCCTGCAGGATGGTTGCAAGGATTAAATGAGATGTTCTTGGCACGGAGGAGCCTACTTCTGACAACAAGGATGCCCTCGTTCCTTGGCTACTTCTCCTACCCACGTCCCCCCACAAGGTAGACTTGGCCCTCTGAGTCCTCACCACACCACCCTCTTAGCCCAGGTAGTAATTACAGTCATGTCTGTCTCCTCCATGGAACAGTGAGCCCCTAAGTGTGGGGACTGGGTCTGATTCACCACCAGGTCCCCAGAGCCCAGTGCAGGACCTGGGCAGGCACGGACTTCACACCCTGTGCCGCTGTCCAGGTCCCCACCAGCACCAACACCCTGTCCCAGGCGCCTGATGTCACAGGTGTCCCGGCTGAGTGGCAGCTCCTCACTCAGCTTCCACTTCCTCACGTGTGACCCTGGTGACCTCCGAAGGTTGCTTCCAGCCTGAAAGTGCTGTGAGTCCATGTCTCAAACCCGCGTCACCATGCTGCCCCCAGACCAACCCCTCCCCGCTTCCCTGCCCCATCAACGGCCCCACTGTTCTCCAGTGACCCAGGCATGAAGCTTCGGAGTCATTTTTGACTCATCCATCCCCTTCATCCCCTATGGCTAGTCATCGGCCATGACAATTTTTCCTTCCAAACACATCCGTAGTCCCCTCCCCAGCATTCTAGTCCCCTCTGTCTTGGCCTCTGTTTTGGTCTGAAGTCTGGAGATTTTGTCCAGTTTCTTTTTTTTCTTTTACTTTTTTTTTGAGACAGGGTCTTGCTCCGTGGCCCAGGTTGGAGTACAATGGCGCGATCTTGGCTCACTGCAGCCTCAACCTCCTGGGCTTAAGTGATCCTCCCACTTCAGCCTTCCAAATAGCTGGAAGCCTAGGCACAAGCCACCACACCCAGCTAATTTTTAATTTTTTTGTAGAGACAGGGTCTCACTCTGTTGCCCAGGCTGGTCTTGAACTCCTGATCTCAAGCAATTCTCTCACCTTGGCCTCCCAAAGTGCCAGGGTTACAGATGTGAACCACTGCACCACACCTGGCCTGCTTTTATCCATTTTCTAACTGGCCAGTGTCCTCTCACCTTCCACCACAGCCATCTTCCCAGGAGAGCTCTGGAGTTCCACTGTTACGGTCCTCCCAAAAATGCACAGCGGGTATCTGACAGGGGAAACTGCTTCACACCCATCACCTGCCCCTGAATCCATCAGTCAGGAGCCGAGCTGCTGCCTCGAGGCTGAGTGTGCCCAGGAGAGACCGGGGTCTCTGCCCACAGTCAGGCACATAGTCCACTGAGCTCTGCTATTCCTTAGGCCCAACACTGGGCATGGGGCAGGGAAACCAGGATGCTTGAGGCATAGGCCCTGTCCACACCCTGATTGGGGACATGGATGGATGATGCCACACTGACACAGTGTGCTGTAGGAACCAACGTGGGGTGGCGGACGCCCCTCATGCTGCCTGGAATCAGGACGTGTCACAGAGGACAGACAGTCGAGCTGGGTCTTGAGGAATGAGCAGGAGTTCTGCGGAGAGGGTGCTTCAGCAAGGAAGCTGCCTGGATGCGCAGTTATGAAGGCCTGCAGGGGCAGGAGGGGTGGCCACGGTGGGAGGTGGGGAGGCCAAGCTGAGAAGGGCTCCGTGGGCCACTGGTGAGCTGCCTCTGGAATCCCTTACTGCCGTCCATAATTCATGTCCCCCACACGGAGCATGACATAATTCATGTCCCCCACATGGAGCATGACATAATTCATGACCTCCCAACCTGTGACGCAACACCTCCTTGTAAACATCAAAGCAGCCATCTGTGAGCCATCTTTGAGCCCAGGAGGTTGAGGCTGCAGTGAGTTGTGATCATGATACCGCACTCCAGCCTGGGCCCCAGAGTGAGACCCTGTCTTAAAAAAAAAAGAAAGAAAAAAGAAAATTAAAAAAAAAAGGAAGTGGACAAAATCTTGAGATTTTGCACAGAGCTGTCCTCCCTAGTTGCCCTGTCTTTCTTCGCCAGCCTTTTCAGGTGGACGGGGCATGGCTTATCTCTCCCATTTTACAGATGAGGACTCTTGAGACCTACAGAGAGAAAGCGCTTGTCCAGGGCGGCCTGCTAGGCTCTGGTAGAGCCAGGGCTGGAATTTCCCTGGCCCCAGATCCCAGAGTCTAGAGGTTGCAGCGGGGTTCAAGCCTGGTTACCCAGTCCCTCTGGGGTAGGGCTGGTTCTGTAGGACCAGATGGGGCGACAGACAGGCCCAGCTGCTGGGAACTCCAGGACCAATCACCAGTGCCCACAGAGCCTCGCCAAGGCAAGCCCTGCTGGGCTGGCACAGCCTCTGAGGCCAAGCCTGCTCCCCCAGTGCAGTGGGGGTTGGGGGATGGGATCTGGCCCCGGCGGAGCGGGAGGGACTGGGTGGCGGATTTGTGTTTCCACTTGATTTCCTCAGTTGTTTTCCAAGAGCGGTGGCAGGATCCTGAGGGGAGGGGTGGATGTGGGGAAGCCACCGGAAGGCGCCACGGCCCCGCTGCCTGCCCCCCATGTGACTCCACTGACTGACGACAGTGCCCGTGGAAGGGCCTCGAGGCTTCTGTCCTGTGCTCGCTGGGAGAGGGTGTGACGTGGACGAGGGCACTGGGCGACTCCTCATGACCCATGCTGACTCTAAGTTTGCTGCTCACTTGGGGCCCCAACCCCTTTGATTCTGGGAGTCAAGAGAGGTTGTGACCGCCGCTGACCCCTATTCCCTGCACCATCCCAGGGGTCAAGTGGCTGGGGCCGAACCCGGACAGGGCAGGAGTGCCCCAAAACCTAGGGCTTGGCATGGCCCCTTGGTGTCCTCCCGACTCCCCTTGTCAGCTCCTTCCGCCTCCCCTTCTGCTTCCTCTACTCCCACCGTTTCAGCCTTGCTGCCTCACCACCACCATCTGTCCCCCAGCTCCTTGGGCCTGTCCACGCTGCTCCTCATCCCCACTAGTTGTCTTTTCCGCCTTCCAGGGCTGCACTGGGCTCTCACTGGGCCTCGGGCCACAGCCTCTTCCCTTCCATGCACCCCTGCGTCCCAGGCCTGGCAGCTTCCCCAGGCCTGTCACAGAGGAGTGGGGTCAGCCACTCCTGGCTTCAGAATCTGCTCGGCCACTTCCTGGCCACGTGGCGGCAGGCAGGTCCCAACCCTTCTCTGGGCTCCAGCTTCCTCCTCCAAGAAGCGGGGGAGGGGATAATGCAAAACCAGCGACCTCCTGCACCAGCTCTAAGGAGACCGAAGTGCCCAGCATGGGGCGGGGTGCGGAGGCAGCCAAGAGCTCAAAGGAGAGCCAGGCCACTTGGAGTTGAAATCCCAGCGCTGACACCAGCCGTGCAGCCCTGGACCCCTCTCTGAGCCTCAATGTCCCCCTCTGTAAAATGGGGATAATAATAGCAGCTTCCCCTTGGGACAGAATGAACTAATCCCAGGGGAGACCTGTCAGCCTGGGCTTTCTGGAGGGGGTTGTGCCTGCGCAGCTCGGAACAATGAGTCAGAAGCAGCCAGCAGAGACACAGAGCGCACTGGAGGTGGGGGCAGGGCTTGAGCAGAGGCCAGAGGAGAAACCAGTTGGGAGCTTTCGGCCCAGGGCTGGGAGTGGTGGGAGGTGAGACCTGGGGCCGTGGCCTAGGACGAGCTGGGGCTTTCCAGGATCCCACCCCAGCCTCCCCACCCCACCTTGCTAGCCAGGGGGCTGACATCCCTCCCCACTCCCCAAGCAGATTCCCTTGTGCTGGTCCTTCCACCTAAGCTCTCCCCACACCTCTTGGCCTCTGCAAATCCTGCCCATCCCTCCATAACACACATAGTGTAGGTCTTGCTTCTTCCAGGAAGCCTTCCCTGCTCTCTGCCATAGCCATCTCTCTCTCTCCCCCTGTGTGTGTCTCTCTCTCTCGGTCTCACACCCTTCTGTGGCATCGCCTGTGGCACAAACTCACCATGGTGGGTTATTCTGTAAATGGTGCACATCTGGAGCCCATTAACTGTTAACAACAGGCGCCTCCGAGGCCTTTACATCCAGTGTGGTGTGTGCATACCCCTCACCTTGCCTGATTCTCAGCACCATCCTATGGGACGAGAGGGATAAGCCCATTTGACAGATGAGGATGCTGAGGCCTAACAGGCCAAGGGGCTGCTGCCCAACGGTCTAGAGCAAGTCAGTGGGGCAAGTGGGAATCAGGGGTCGCTCTCTTCCCTTCCCAGGGCAGGGGGCCTGGCAGGAGCACGTTTCTTTTCTGTTCATTTGCAATCCCTCGGTCTATCCTGCTCGTGTCCTCGGGGCCATGCAGCCTCCCTCTCCTGCCCACCGGCCTCTCTGCCATCTGAAACCTCCTGCTACTATCACCACTTTCTGCATGACTGCCCCACCTCACTCTCCAGGTGCTGCCTGACACCCGCAGGCACTTCATATGCATCTGCTTCATAACCATGGCTGAACTGAGGCACCCGCCGGGCCACTGGGAACAGCAGAAGAGGAGGGGAAGCCCTGGCGGGAGCGGGTGGGAGGTGCTGCCCCTTCCCAGCTGGGTGACCATGAGTTGCAGCCTCACGTCTCAGAGCCCCCTTCCTGCCCCCAAAGGGCAAGCTGCCTTCTTTTGATGAACCCACAAAGCTCCAGGGTGGGTGTGGTTTTACTGATGAGGAAACTGAGGCCCTGGGAGGCCAGGAACCAGCCTGAGGTCAGAGGTGAGGCACTGAGCCCCTGCTTTTCTTTTTTTTTTTTTTGAGACAGAGTCTCGATCTGTTGCGCAGGCTGGAGTGCAGTGGCAGGATCTTGGCTCAATGCAACCTCCGCCTCCCGGGTTCAAGCAATTCTCCTGCCTCAGCCTCCCAAGTAGCTGGGATTACAGGCGTCTGCCACTGCACCTGGCTAAGTTTTTGTATTTTTAGTAGAGACGGGGTTTTGCCATGTTGACCAGGCTGGTCTCGAGCCCCTGACCTCAGGTGATCCACCTGCCTCAGCCTCCCAAAGTGCTGGGATTACAGGTGTGAGCCACCGCACCCAGCCGAGCCCCTGCTTTTCTAGGCCATTTGCTGATGTCACGGCACCATGAGGCTGGTGGGGCAGGGAATGTCCTCAGAGTCCTTTGAGAAGCTTTAAAAATTCCCCGAAGGAGAGGCTTCCTTCTGTGCAACCAGGAAGTCCACAGGCAACTTTCCCCTTCAGGGGCCTGGAAGCCCCCATTAGTGAACCGCCCTCATGGGCAAGGCTGCTCTCCTTAGGAACCTGTCCTAGAGGAGCAGGCCCATTCTTAGCACATACTAGATGCTCAGTAAACACTTACTGAAAGAATGATTTGGATCTCATTTAGGAGGGGTGGGCAACCGGGGAGGAGTGGCTGCAAGGGATGGGAGACGGGGTAAGGAGGGCTGCGGCCAAGAACTGTGGGTCTCTCAGTTTCTGACCTTGACCTCCAGAGAGTCCTGTTGCGATGGAGTTCAGACCACACCATCCCCTGCTTAAAGCCCCAACGGGCCCCTCATGCCTAGCCTTCCCCCAGCGTTCAGAGCTGGGCCCTCCAACCCCACGTGTCTGACTCCTTTTCCCACACACTGGCCTCCTGGCTGTTCCTAAACTCAACAGCACATTCCCTCTCAGGCCTTTTGTGCTGTTGCCACCGGCTGGAACATTCTTTCCCCAGACATCCTTCCTCTCTTCTTTCAGATCTTTGTCAAAGGTCATACTCTTGCAGGGGTCTTCTCTGACCACCATGTCTAACATAACACCCCTCCCATCTCTCTTCACGTTTACCCTGCTTTGTTTTTTATTCTGGAACTCATGGCTGCCTGATGTTAGCTTGTAGGTTTACTTGTATACTATGCATCTTCCTGAGGAGAGAGGAGAATATCTGCTCCGTGAGGGTAAGCTGGTCTGTTATGTCCACTGCTGTAGCCCCAGAGCTGGGCACATGGCCACTGCTCAATCAGTGTTTGTGGAAGGAAGGAAGGACTGACCTTTTTATTCTGCTAATGAGCAACCTTATGTTATGTTATGTTATGTTATGTTATGTCATGTTATTTTTGAGACAAGGTGTCACTCTGTCTTCCAGGCCAGAGTGCAGTGGCGCAATCTTGGCTCACTGCAGCCTTGAACTCCTGGGCTCAAGCGATCCTCCCGCCTCAGCCTCTAGAGTAGCTGGGACTACAGGTGCACACCACCATGCTCGGCTATTTTTTTTTTTTTTTTGTAGAGATGGGGATCTTGCTATGTTGCCCAGGCTGGTCTTGAACTCTTGGCCTCAAGCAGTCCTCTGCTTTGGTCTCCCAAAGTGCTGGGAATGCAGCTGTGAGCCACTTCCTGGCCAATGCCTGGCCTCTTCCTATCTCCTTTTTTTTTTTTTTGAGACGGAGTCTCCCTCTGTTGCCCAGGCTGGAGTGCAGTGGCACCATCTCAGCTCACTGCAACCTCCACCTCCCGGGTTCACGCGATTCTCCAGCCTCAGCCTCCTGAGTAGCTGGGACTACAGGCACGTGCCACCATTCCTGGCTAATTTTTGTATTTTTAGTAGAGATGAGGTTTCACCACGTTGGCCAGGATAGTCTTGATCTCCTGACCTCGTGATCCACCCACCTCGGCCTCCCAACTCTTCCTATCCTTTGTTCATGGAGTGCCTCCTATGTGTGGCCCTGTGTGAGGTGCTTTTTGAATAAGTAGCCTCAGCAGAGAGACAGCAGCTCACTTCATGCAGGTTGGCCGGAGGTAGCAAGGGTCATCAAGTCAGCGTGTGGGAAGTACCCTAAGCACAGTAGGTGCTCATGAACAGTAGCTTCTTTTAGAACAACTTGCCTATTATCAGATGGCCTCTCTGGGAGCCTGAGAGCCAGTGTTGGGGGGTAGAAGGTGGGGGAAGGGGAGAAAGCTGGGGTGGGGAAAGAAAAAATGTGATTAAATTTTAGGAAAAACGTCCTGAAAGGCAAACTGTGCAAAGATGGAAGGGACAAGCTCCCTGTCAGTATCAGGAGGCCAATGGAGCCCTGGTGGCCCTGGAACCAGGACCAGCTTTGGGACCTGAAGCCAGAGGATGTGAGGATTCAGAG
The DNA here is from genome assembly GCF_000001405.40 of Homo sapiens. Lineage (NCBI taxonomy): Eukaryota > Metazoa > Chordata > Mammalia > Primates > Hominidae > Homo > Homo sapiens. The sequence goes on from NC_000022.11 coordinate 38,038,307, forward strand.
GGCGTCCTCTTGAGGTTAGGGTGGGCCAGGCCCCAGAGCTTGGAGCAAGCAGCTTGGGGGAAAGGACCAGGCCGGGCCCAGGCAGGTGGAAGCCATGGCTCTGGCCGGGTCACAGGGCGGCTGGGGTTTGACCTGGCGGCCATGATGGGCTCTGGACCCAGGAGCCACCCGGGCACAGGATGGGACGGGTTGAGAGATTGGTCGTCCAGGCGTTGAGTGTGCCCTCGCTCCTCCCCACCTTCCGCCGTGGCCTTGAGCCCCTTGCGCCCGCGCCCATGGGGTTAAATCTCTCCCTGTCTCTCTCTGCTCCAAGTTGTTTTCCAAGTGAGGCAGAGAATGGTTCTCTTGTTACCAACATGGCTTCTGGGCATTGGGTAATGCGCTCCCTCTTCTCCCGCAGCGCCACAAAGGGACCTTTTGTTCCCCTCCCTGCCCCTCTCGCTGGCTCTTCCCGGCCCCCCACCCACCCAAACTCCCTCCTCCCCCCGCCGGCGCCCGCACCCCGGGGCTGCGCGCTGACCGTGGCGGCCGCGGCGCCCTCCCTCTCCCAGCGCCTGCACTGGCGGCCGCCATCTTGCGAGCGGCCCTCAGGGCGGCCTGGGCTTTCCCAGGGTTCTCGGGGCCGGGGCAGTCGTAGGGGGCGGCTGGGGCTCCACAGGACGTTCGTGACCCACCTTGCGCCCCCCAGGGAGTGGCAGGACCCTCCCGTCCCCAGCCTCCGCGCCAGGCCTCGTCCCTGCATGGGACAAGAGGCAGCCCTCCGCCATTTCCCGCGGCCCTTGCCTCCCGGGAGCGGCTCCCCTCTGACGACTGAGTGGACTGCGCTTGAGGGGGCCGCCGCTGGGAACCAGCCCCTCCAGAAAGAGCCGTCTCTGCACCCGCTCCCACCCGTGGGAAGCACCAGATGGGGCTGTCTCCCGAGACAAAGCCTAAAACCAAATGTACCGGAATTTTTGGAAACTGAAACACAACTTGTCCTAGATAGGAATGTCAGGAAGCCAGCGAGAGAATGAAGAGTCTGCCGTCCGGGGACACAATTTCTGTCCACTGTCCCTGCCCACGTCCCCTCACAGCCCTGCAAGGTGGGTGGGGACGGCTGATGATGCCATTTTCAGATGAGGAAACTGAGGCACAGAGAGGCTCCACAGCCAGGACTGGGCGCTCATCCAGTTGACTCCAGGGCAGATCCTCTCTTCCCAGGGCAGCCACCCCCGCCTTGTGAGAGCCGGTGCCCGGGGGAGGGGAAGGATGGAGACCTGGGCAGTTCACCCAGGCCCAGGAGCCAGAGCCCTGGCAGGTTGTACGCAGCTGCTCCCAAGAGGCACCCCTTCCACCCCTGCACCAGCCCTGCCTCCACAGAGGCGCAAAGGAAGCAAAGGCACTGCTGGCGAAGAACCTTGGCATTCCAGCCGCGCACAGACACCCAGAGAGGAAACCCGAGCACCCGGAACTGGACGGGGTGGCGGGCAGGGGCAGGGCGAGGGCCATTGAGTTCAGCGAGACCCTGGCGGCCCTCAAGGAAGACAGGCAAATCAGTGAAGAGCCCCTGTGCTGCAAGAGGGGGCCTGGGCTACCCAGGAGCGCCTAACCTGAAGTTGGGAAAGGAAGGCTTCCTGGAGGAGGTGACTGTGAATAAAGTCTCAAGAGACAGTAAAAGTTCTGCAGGCAATGAAAATGAGAAATGGAGTCAGGTGTGGTGGCTCACACCTGTAGTCCCAGCACTTTAGTAGGGTGAGGTGGGAGGATCACTTGAGGCCAAGGAGTTGGAGACCAGCTTGGGCAACATAGGGAGACTCTGTCTCTACAAAAAGATTAAAAAATTAGCTAATCATGGTGGTGTATGCCTGTGGTCCCAGTGGTCCCAGCTACTTCGAAGGCTGAGGCCAGAGGATCACTTGAACCTGTGAGGTCAAAGCTGCAGTGAGCCGAGATCACACCATGGCACCCCAGCCTGGGGGCCAGTGAGACCCTGTCTCAAAAAAAAAAAAAAAAAAAAAAAGAAATTGAGAAAAGGGTAGGAAAGCAGATGTGAATGGCAAAACTGGTGGGGAGAGGCACCCCAGGCCATGGGCTGGAGCAGAGGGCCTGGCAGGGGTGGTGGGAGAGGCAGCAGGGGGAAGAGCAGTCAGCAAAGTGGCTACAGAGGTCAGCAGGGAGCTCCTGAGGACCAAGGGTGGCCTGGGAAGGTCTGGGGACTAGATCCTGAGGGCAGTGGGGTGGTCACTGTAGGATTTCAAGGGAGTCAGATTTGTGTTCTAGAAAGGTTGTCACCATATGGCCTGACCATATGCCAGTCTGGTTCATTACTGTTTTCCTAGCACCTAGCTCAGTGCCAGCACACAGTAGATGTTCAGTAAATGCTTTGAATCAATACACAGATGCCAGCGGTGTATCCAGAGGCAATGGTTAACTCCTGTGGGGGTCCTTCAGCTTCAGTTTCCTCCTTTGTGAACGAGGGCACTGGCACCTGCCTGGTGGGCATGTTGTGATGGTGAAGGGAGCATGGCAGTTTGGGCTTGCTGTCCTGCACACGGTCAGCGCTCTGTAATGGCAGCTTTTATAAAACGTGTGGAGGATGTGCCAAGGGGAACATGGGGGCAAGGACCCTGGACAGGAGTGGTCAAGTCAGCCAGAGGAGAGAGAATAATGATGACAACAGTGACGTTGATCAAAGGCTGAAGTTCTTCATGTATTTCATTCATGTCATCCTCAACACAGTGAAGGAAGACGGCACCGTAGTTATCCCTGTGTTATTTTCCAGGAGGCGGCGGCTCAGAGAGGAGTGACTCGCCTGAAGCCCCGTGAACAATGCATGGTGGACGGAAGTACATGGAATGCCAGAGCCAGGCTGGTGACTAGTGCTGGTGGTGGGGACTGGTCAAGGCGGCCGCCAGGGAAGGGATGTGAGGACACGGTCTAGACTGATGGACCAGATGGCGGGGGCAGGCACAGGGGGAGGGAGGTTTCCAGGACACCCCTCAGTTTCTGGCCCAGGTGACCAGGTGGAAGGTCATTCCATCTCCTGAGTGAGGGACACAGCAGGACAGACAGGCTTGGGGAGGGACTGTTGGGATGTCTGGAGTCTAGGAGAGGATCCAGGCGGGGGATGGAGGGGAGGGCGGAATGAGCTCATGGGGCAAGTGGAAGGCTTGTGGGCGGTGGAAAAGCTCCAGCCCCCGGACACCTAGCCAAGGTCAAGTAATAACGACAGTAGACGTTACATAGCCTTGACTCTGTACAGACCTCATCCTGCATCCTTACGTTAACTCATTGAACCCTCCCAACCATTATCAAATTGGAGGTACCATTATCACCCCCATTTTATAGTTGGGGAAACTGAGGCAAGAGACATTAAGTCTGCAATATTGGAATAGGCAAATCTGTAGAGAAAGGAATGTGGGTGAGTGGTGGGCTGGGGCTGGGGGCTGGGAAGGATCATGGCTAACGGGCACAGGCTTTCTTTTTTGGGTGATGAAAATATTCTAAAATGACTGTGAAAATATTGCACAACTCTGTGAACATGTGAAAACCCACTGAACTGTATGCTCTAACTGTATGAATTGTATGGTATTTGAATTTCACCTCAATAAAGCTGTTATCAAAAAGCAAGAGAGAGAGAAAGAGAATATTTGTACTTGGACATTTTTGCCCCTGGGTGGAGATTACTCCACCTCAGGAAGCAGTAAACCCCAACCACCAATTTTTGGAGGCTTGCTGCATATGACTTTGGGGAGGAGTTGGGGAAGGATGGGGTAGGATAGTGTCTCAACTGCTCTTCCTGGAGGAACGAGGGCCCAGCCAGCAGATCACCCAGAAGTTTGGTGCCCCAGCCCCTCCTAGAGGAACCCTGGTGTCTGCTTGGGTCCAGGAGCACACAGTGGCTGCCTTCCTCCGGGTCCTCCTGGTCCCTGCAGGTCATGGGCTGGAGGCCCCGGAGGATCTCTGTGATGGTCACACTTGGCTCCTCCCTCCACAACCCAACTGAGGCCGGGAGGCCCAGGGTGCCCTGGTGCCCAGGTGCCCAGGGGCTGTGACTGACCCATGGCCTGTGCCAGGATGGGCACTGTGAAGAGGCTCCAGGGACCCCCTGGGTGTGAGCCAGTGGGAGAATGAAAAGAGGAAGGAAGAAGTCTGCAGGCCTGCCCCACCCACCTGGAGGGGTCAGAGAAGGAGCCGCACTGTCCAGGAGGGTGGGGTGGCCAGCAAAGTGGCCTGGAGAGACGAGGAGGAGAGGGTTTGGGAGAGTGCCTTCCCATGCCATGGCACCTTCTCCAGAGCAGGGTCACAAGCATTCAGGAGGGAAGGAAGTGCAGACAGCTAGTAGACAGTTCTTTGGGGAAGCTGGGCTGGGAAGGGAGAAGGAGTAGAGCAATAGCTGTTCTTATTTTCTGGGCTGAGAGGAAGGAATGGGTAGAGGGGAGAAGAGCTGCTGACCACACAGAAGAGGGCTGGGCCAGTGGGAGAGGGGCTCCTGCAGAGATGGAGGGTTCTAGAGCTGGGTGGGGGCCCCCCACTCCCAGGCGGGCAGCAGGTGGGGTGAGGACTGAGAGCTGCAAAGCTGGTGGCCGGAGGGGAGGCCAAGGGGCCCTGTCCAATGGCCTCTCCTCTCTGCAATAGAGGAGGGGTGTCAGGAGTGTAGGGCTTCAGGGGGTTTACTGTCTCTACTGAAGGTCCCAGAAGAAGGAAGCCTTGGGGACCAGAAAGGGTGGGTGGTGCTGGGTGAGGGCCCACATGCCACTGCTGGGCTGTGTGGAAGGTCCCGTCTGAAACAGGGTTGTTCTTTCTCTTCTGAGAGCTCCGAGTGCTGGCCATGTGCCCCTGGCCTGGGGAGCAAGGGGCCTGTCCTCTGTGGGTTTATTTACAGCTTTTCAGAGGTGCCCCTGCCTGGTCCTGGGCAACTTGTCATCAGCGCACCTGGTGTGGATACTGAGGAGAACTGAGAGAGGCTAGGTAGCTCCCGGTGCTTCCCCAGGCCCCCAGCCCCATCCCTCAGCTGAGGACTGCACCTTCCTCTCCCACCCAGGCTGTACCTGTCACTGCCCTCCACTCCACCAGGCTCAGCACACAGTAGGGCCTTAGTCAGTTTGCCCTTATGCCTGTATGCTCTGGGCAGATTCAAAGCACTTTCCCCTAATTACCCACAGGGCGCCATCTCTCCACCACTACCCCTATGCACACACACTCCCATTGGGGCTGGGGAGAGTTCCCCCGACCCTGGACCCAAATCAGGCACTTCGACCTGAGCGAGCCCCTCCTGTGCCTCATTGACCCACTCGAAGTCCATTTATTCTTCCTTTTGACACAGTCCTGATGCCTTGGGTGCTTCCATTTCCTAGGCTGGAGGTGAATTAGAAAGATGCATGGGAGGAGAGAGGGCCCAGGAAGAGAGAAGACAGGTGGTAAGTTGGTTTTGTCGATAACATTTGCAGCCAAATTTCAAGGGAGGCCCTAGAGCCACTGTATAACACAGACGTGACACCTATGGGGCGCTTGTTGAAGGACACGCGGATGCTCTGCTGGTTTGGTGGCTGTGATGACTTCATGCAAATGGAAGCTACATTTGTATGACACTTTGTTAAAGCAAATTAGGTATAAATAAAGATTCATGCCCAAAGATCTGTATTGCGATGTGTCTAATTGTGAATAACTGGCCACAACCTTAATCAACAGTAGAGGATTACGGCCAGGCGCAGTGGCTCATGCCTGCAATCCCAGCACTTTGGGAGGCCGAGGCGGCCGGATCACCTGAGGTCATGAGTTCAAGACCAGCCTGGCCAACATGGTGAAACCCCGTCTCTACTAAAAATACAAAAATTAGCCGGGCGTGGTGGCGGGTGCCTGTAATCCCAGCTACTAGGGAGGCTGAGGCACAAAATTCGCTTGAACCCGTTAGGCGGAGGTTGCAGTGAGCCAAGATCATACCACTGCACTCCAGCCTGGGTCAGAGAGCAGGACTCTGTCTCAAAAAAACAAAAACAAAACACAAACCAGTAGAGGATTGGTAAAGTGCATCATAGCACAATCCTGAGACAGAATATGACACAGCCACTAAAAATGATGCCTATGAGGATTTTTTTTTTTTGTAGCACCAGGAGGAACTTAGGGCCACAAGTGTGTTTGAAGGGTCAATGGTCAATGCCACACAAGTAACAAACTAACTGCCGAGTCTAAACATCTTAACATCTTACTTCTTTTTTTTTTTTTTTTTTTTTTTTTTTGAGGCTGAGGTCTCACTCTGCTGCCAGGCTGGAGTACAGTGGCACGATCTTGGCTCACTGCAACCTCCGCTTCCCGTGTTCAAGTGATTCTCCTGCCTCAGCCTCCCAAGTAGCTGGGATTACAGGCGCCTGCCGCCATGCCCAGCTAACTTTTGTATTTTTAGTAGAGACGGGGTTTCACCATGTTGGCCAGGATGGTCTCGATCTCTTGACCTTGTGATCCGCCTGCCTCGGCCTCCCAAAGTGCTGAGATTATAGGCGTGAGCCACCGTGCCCAGCCCTTTTTTTTTTTTTGAGACAGAGTTTCGCTGTGACGCCCAGGCTGGAGTGCAGTGGCGCGATCTCGGCTTACTGCAACCTCTGCTTCCCGGGTTCAAGCGATTCTCTTGCCTCAGCCTCCTGAGTAGCTGGGATTACAGGCCCATGCCATCATGCCCAGCTAATTTTTGTATTTTCAGTAGAGACAGGGTTTCACTATGTTGGCCAGGCTGGTCTCGAACTCCTGACCTCAGGTGATCTGCCTGCCTTGGCCTGCCGAAGTGCTGGGATTACAGGCGTGAGCCACCGGGCCTGGCCAACATCTTACTTCTTAACACGATATGTGAGGCCCTGGAAAACCTGGCCTCTGCTGGCCTCCTTAGCCTCCTCCCTCACTGCTGAACTGCTGTGATTCTCACAGCTGGTTTTAGTCTATGCCTTTGCATATGCTGTTCCCTCTGCCTGGAATACCTTTCCCTGCTGTCCCCATCTACTTTGGTCTAACTTCTACTCCCCCTTTAAGAATCAGCCCCACAGGAAGATTGCTTGAGCCTAAGAGTTTGAGACCAGCCTGGGCAATGTAGTGAGACCTCATCTCTCCAAAAAAATTAAAAAATTAACTGGGTGTGGTGGCACACACCTGTGGTCTCAGCTACTTGGGGGGTTGAAGTGGGAAGATTGCTTGAGCCTGGGAGGTCAAGCCTGTAGTGAGCCGATATTGTGCCACTGAACTCCAGTATGGGAGACAGAGCAAGACTTTTTCTCAAAAATAAATAAATAATAAAAAATAAGGCCAGACACGGTGGCTCATGCCTGTAATCCCAGCACTTTGGGAGGCTGAGGTGGGCAGATCATCTGAGGTCAGGAGTTTGAGACCAGCCTGGCCAACATGGTGAAACCCGTCTCTACTAAAAATACAAAAAATTGGCCGGGCGTGGTGGTAGCTACGTAGGAGGCTGGAGGCAGGAGAATCGCTGGAACCCAGGAGGCAGAGGTTGCAGTGAGCTGAGATTGTGCCACTGCACTGCAGCCTGGGTGACAGAACGAGACTCTGTCTCAAAAAAAAAAAGAAAAAGAAAAAATAATCAGCCCCAGCATCTTCTCCTCCTGGAAGCCTCCCTGGCTTGCTGGCTCGGCTGGGGTTCCCTTTTCTGGTACCCCCTATTCCTCCGTTATAATTTTTGGTTGACATGCTGATCCTCCACTTCCAGCCTGTGAGTCCCTCGAGGGAGAGACTGTGTCTGCTTTGCCTCCATGTCCCCGTGCTGGCCCCATCCTGGCACATCTGGGCAGGACGTCACACGACCTGGTTCTATTCCTGGTCATGTTCCTGCCCAAGCCACCCCTTCGGTTTCCCCATCCAAAATGTGGGAGAGCTGGGCTTCGCCAGGTCACTTCTGAGGGTACAATTGTCCAGAAGATGGACAGGGCTGGCGTGGCCCAGGCCTGTGCCAGGCGCCCAAGATTGATGGTTGAGGGCCATGGGCAGTTCCCTCGGTCAGCAGCCCCCTCCGTGGCTCCCTGTAGCCCCATGTAGAGAATGGGGTGGGTGTAGAGAGGGGGCGGAGGGCTGCATGCCAGGGCCTCAGCAGACCAGACCCCACCAAAGAGGCTAGCCTGGCACCCCCCAGCAGGAAGGTGGCCCCCAATGGTTATCAAAGGCCAGCGGGGCCCCTCCCTCCAAGGATGAAGGGGTGTCCCTGACAAGCAGGGCCATCCGTCAGCCCTGGGCACAATGGGGTCATTAACCCCTGACCCCAGCTCCTTTTTAGCCACTTCCTCTGAGGGCTGAGTGTGTGGGGCTGAGAAGAACAGAGCCTCGCTTTTCAGCGAGGGGCTGAGGAGCAATGGCTGCTTGGCTGGTCCCAGGCTCTCTAGCTCCCAACCCCTGAGGCTCCCTCGGAGGCCTGGGGGAGCCTCCCACTCTCTGTCCCCTGAGAGGGCACCCCCTTGGCCAACCACCCTCAAGCCAAAGCAGTGTGTATGGGGAGGGACAGATAGAGACCCTGAGAAAGAGACAGAGACCGGGAGAGAGGGAAGCCGAGGTGGGCAGATCATCAGAGACAGACACTTGAGACCTGAGACGGCTCCTTTCCCTTTACAAAGTGCACTCACAGGAAAATCATAGACCAACCCTGCTTGTGAAATTAGATGTGAGAATCCTAAATAAAAGATTAGCCAAACAGATATATGCATCATGCCCAAACTGAGTTTATCTTAGAAATGTAAGGATCATTTAACATTTGAAAAATCTATTAGTGAATTTATCACATTAATAAATTAAGGGAGAAAAGTCATATGATCATCTTGGCACTGGAAATCAAGGTCAACATCTACTTAAGATAGAAATGTTTTAGCAAACTGGAGATAGAAAGGAATTTCCTTAGGCTGGGCATGGTGGCTCCCAGCACTTCGGGAGGCCAAGGCAGATAAATCGCTTGAGCCCAGGGGTTCGAGACCAGCCTGGGCAACACAGTGAAACCCTGTCTCTACAAAAAATACAAGTTTAACCGGGCCTGTTGGTGTGCGCCTGTAATCCCAGCTACTTGGAAGGCTGAGGTAGGAGGGTCGATTGAGCCCAGGAGTTTGAGACCAGCCTGGGCAACATAGTGAGACTGTGTCTCAAAAAAAAGAGAAAGAAACTTCCTTAAACTGATAAAAATTATCCACAAAACCCAGCACAAACACAGTTCTTAAAGGGGTAATGGACACATTTCTTAAAATCAGGGATGGGTTTGCCCCTCATCCATGAGTTGATTCAACATTGCACCTGAGGTCCTAGCCTGGAAAGTAGGCATGAAGAAAAGGGATAAGGATTGGAAAAGAAAAGCAAAACTGGTATTATTTATAAGTGGTATGACTGTCTATTCATAGAAAACCCCAAATCATCTAACTGGCAAAGTATTAGAACTATGAATGAAATTTAGCAGAGAAAGGATATTCCTACATCAAATCAATATCAATAACTAATTATAGGGTGCGGTGGCTCACGCCTGTAATCCTAGCACTTTGGGAGACCGAGGCAGGTGGATCACGTGAGGTCAGGAGTTCGGGACCAGCCTGGCCAACACGGTGAAACCCCGTCTCTACTAAAAATACAAAAGTTAGCCGGGCGTGGTGGTGGGTGCCTGTAATCCCAGCTACTCAGGAGGCTGAGGCAGGAGAATCACTTGAACCCGAGAGGTGGAGGTTGTAGTGAGCCGAGATCGCGCCACTGTACTCCAGCCTGAGCGACAGAGCAAGACTCCATCTCAAACAAAACAAAACAAAACAAACAAAAAAACTAATTAGAGCTAAAACACCGATAACCCTTGAAAACATGATCCTCAGCAAAAGAAGCCAGAGGTAAAAGGTCACATATGAAGTGATTCCATTTATATGAAATGCCCAGAATAGACAAATCTATAGTGACAGAGAGTATATTAGTAGCTTCGGGGAGCTGGGGAGAGGAGGGCTTGGGGAGTGACTATGAATGGGTTAAGTTTTCTTTTGGTATGATGAAAATGTTCTGGAATTAGATAGCAGTGATGGTTGTATATAACCTTGAGAATATACAAAAAACCACTGAATCGTACACTTTAAAATGATGAATTTTTATGGTATGTAAATTGTATCTCAAGAAAAAAGTAATTGCATTTATAAACATCACAGCTGACAACATATAATTTTAAAAAATCTTCCATTTACAATAATAACAAAAATTACATCTAACGAAATATTTATGGTGATAAACCTAAAATGCTATTGAGGTACAGGCACACTGAAAAATGGCTTGGCAGTTTCTTTCTTTCTTTTTTTTTTTTTGAGATGTAGTCTCACTCTATCGCCCAGGCTGGAGTGCAGTGGCATGATCCCAGGTCCAAGTGATTCTCGTGCCTCAGCCTCCTGAGTAGCTGGGATTGCAGGTGCGTGCCACCATGCCCAACTAATTTTTTTTTTAAGACAGGGTCTTGCTCTGTTGCCCAGGCTGGAGTGCAATGGTGCGATCTTGGCTCACTGCAACCTCCGCCTCCCAGGTCCAAGCAATTTTCCTGTCTCAGCCTCCCAAGTAGCTGGGATTACAGGCATGCGCCACCACGTCCAGCTAATTTTTTGTATTTTAATAGAGATGGGGTTTCATCATGTTGTCCTGGCTGGTCTCGAACTCCTGAGCTCAGGCAATCCGCCCTCCTCAGCCTTCCAAAGTGCTAGGATTACAGGCGGGAGCCACTGCACCCCGCCCAGCTAATTTTTGTATTTTAAGTAGGGACAGAGTGTCACCATGTTGGCCAGGCTGGTCTCAAACTCCTGACCTCAAGCGATCTGCCTGCCTTGGCCTCCTAAAGTGCTGGGATTACAGGGGTGAGCCACCACGCCTGGTCAGTTCTGTATCTTAATTGTGATGGTGGCTACTTGAATCTACTCATGATGAAATTGCATAGAACCACACACACACACACAGAGGCACTTGTACACACATACACATGCACACACAGGCATACACACGTGTGCACACACACCTACCCGAATGCATGCAGAACTAGCGAACTCTGAATAAAGTTCTGTGGTCAAGTACTCTAGCTATATAAGACGTTACCTTTGGGGGAAGTTGGGAAAAGGGTACCTGGGACCCTTCTGTACTATTTTTGCAACTTCATGTGAGTCTAAAATTATTTGAAAATAAAAACATAGACAAAAAATGTTATTGGAAGACATTAAAGAAGATCCTCAATATTTGCTTCACCATAAGGAAAGCTGAGATGGAGGAAGGGGTGCAGCATGGGCAGGGTTGTGGCTGAAAATGGAGCGGCGGTGAGGGATCACTGGGCAACTTGGTGTTAGGTACAAAAAGCGTCATTACCCTCTTCTCTCTAATTTTGTACTTTAAAAAATTCCCTTAATAAGAAATAAAAGATGTAAGTGAATGCAAAGAGACAGCTATTAAGTTGCATAGAGAGATTCAGTATAAACATGTTCATTCTCCCCAAATTAATGTCAGTTCAACTCAGTCCTGATCAAAACCTGACAGGCTTTCTGATGGAGCTAATCAAGCTGATTCCAAAAATCAGTGAGAAAGAGCAAAGCAGTAAGAATAGCTGAGACACTCCTACAGAACGAGGTGGGACACCTGCCCTACCCACTATCAAGGCCAGGCGTACAGCTACGGTCTTTAGGCCAGTCTGGGATTTATCACTGCAGAGGCGGCCACCGAGACCCATGGGACAAAGAGCCCGGCACAGACCAACGCACACAGGGATACTGAAGGTCGGGGCGTGGCAGGCGAGGAGAAAGGAAGGACCAGGCGCATTCACATCAGTTTCACCTGCTGTCTGTCCTCATCCCTCTCCTCTAGGCTGGCCTTGCTCTTCGCGTCCCAAGACCCCATTCCACACTGAGGTCACTGAGGCTCAGAGGGGGCCAGTGACACCCAAGGTCTTCTGGCTCTGGTCCCCGGCTCTTTCCAAAGTGTGGTCCCACCAGCCTTCCCCGCCTGTGTCTGAATCATGGGCCTCCAACCCACTAAGGTCCCAAAGATTCAGAACCTCTGAGGGAGGGGTGGGGATGGGGTGTTGCAGCATCTACAAGAGAAATAGCTTCCCACTTGAGTTTGAGAACCCTGACCAAGGGAGAGGGAGGAGAGAGAGAGGGCGAGCGCAATGAGCCAGCCACTGTGCTGCCAGGGTGGGGAACAATCAGGCTCTGTCCCTCTCCTCCCCATCCCCCTGGGCTCCCACCAGCTTTCATCACTGACCTAACCCGGGGGCAGGGCACATGGGGGGTGGGGGTGGAGGGGAGGGCAGAGGTCAGCCCATTACACGCCCAGCCGAGCCAGGAATAGAACCACTTTGGGGGTGGCTGGGGGGACTTGGGGCCCCACGGAAGCCCACCTCCCACCTTTGGCTGGAGGCAGCTGACTGGAGGAGGCAGTGGAGAAGAGAGGAGATAGCTGCCCTGTACCCCAAGGGTGGTGAGAGCCAGGGATCCATCAAAGCTAAGAACAGGCTTCCAGAAGGATGCGGATGCCCCTGAGCCACACTAACCCCCTCCCTCGCCTCCACTGCTGCCACCCTAGTGGGAGACACTTTCCTGTCCCAAGAGGAAGGTGACCCTCGTGACCCGCTGTCCTCAGGGCTGGCCCACCCCGCCAGGCCTCCCTTCTGCTGCCCCAACCCAGCTTCCCAGTGGTTCGGCCCCTGGGTCCTGTCCCCACCTTGCTTCAGACTCAGGGGGTGGTGTTCCCATCCCCACCAATGGGCCCCCCTGTCTCCCTCAGCCTGTCTATGGTAGCCAGGGGCCTCCAGGCAAACACAAGTCTGACTGCCCTTTCCCTTCCCGGCTAGAGTCTTCTGTGGCTCCTCAGTGCCAGGCAGATCAAGTCTGGGGTTCTGATGCCAGCACTTGAGGCCTCTGCTATCTCTGGCCACTGCCTGGTATCTGGCCTCCTACTTTTGATGACACAGTTATTCATTCATTTAACAGACAGGTGTTGAGTGTCACCCCATGCTAGCCAGTGTGCTAGGTGCTGGGGACAGAGATGTGACCTGGATGGGCCAGGTTTCTGCCCACAGGGACCTGGCTGTCTGTAGAAAACAGACTAGAGACTGGTTAGCAAGCAAGCGCAGGCCCCATCACCAGCCACTCTGCAGGCATCTGTGACAAGAGGGGGATAAGAACGCAGGACTGGCCCCTGCTGGCTGCACCACCTCTTCTCAGGCCGCTTGAGGGTGACAGTGCACACCTGCCGCAGAAACGCCCTGCTGCTTCCTCCTGGGTGTCCCTGAGCACTTCCTCAGAGAGACCCTCTCAGAGCGGCACGTCTAAAGAACCCCCTGGGCCAGGCATAGTGGCTCATGCCTGTAATCCCAGCACTTTGGGAGGTCGAGGTGGGTGGATCATCTGAGGTCAGGAGTTCGAGACCAGCCTGACCAACATGGTGAAACCCCATCTCTACAAAAAACACAAAAATTAGCCAGTTGTGGTGGCGCTTGCCTGTAATCCCAGCTACTTGGGAGGCTGAGGCAGGAGAATCACTTGAACTCAGGAGGTGGAGGTTGCAGTGAGCCAAGATCGCGCCACTGCACCCATCACCTTTCCCACCCCTCCATTTTATAAAATCTCTGGTGTCTGCCACCAGCTGGAAGCAGTCAACTCTTTGCTTACCAGTTGATTGCCTGCTCCTCCCACTCACGAGGGCTCTATCAAGGCAGGGCCTTGCTTGTCTCGTTCCCTGGTGTGTGGCCTGGACGTAGTAGGTGCTCAAGAAAAATGTACTGAATGAATGAGTGCGTGAATGAGTGAGCATGTGGGATCACCACACTGCTGTGAGGCTCATGTGAGGAAGGGAATGGAAGCTGCTCGGTTCTGGGCCTGTGCACAGAAGGCACCCAGCCTTAGCTGCCCGGGTCACTGTCGTCTGCTTGACCTGAAAGCCCACACTCTAAATGTCTATGTTGACGACGAACTGAGCTGAATTCCAGCAACCCACTCCGGCTTCTGGACCTTTAAGTAAGGAGGATTGCAGGCCTCGGCTGGGGGACAGCGGTGGCTGCAGAGCGGACAGCCAGGCACAACGCGGGCATGCACAAGACCAGCTCACCCGTCCACAAAGTATACAGACCCCTGAGCTCCACGGCAGCCCTGAGTCAGCAGGTGGCGACAGTGGCAGGTGCGGAAAGCTGGGGGCTCTGTGGCGGGCCGCGTGCTCCAGGAGCTGTCTTTCCTAATGGCCACCGGGTGGCAGCACTTCCCCAGGAATGTGGGCAGCAGAGCCAGCCCTTGTGGATTGAATCTCAGACGGAGCCACAGGGATGGAAGCTTGGAGGGGACCCAGACCCAGGGTCACACAACTTTCAGTGGCAGGGCCAGGCCAGGACAGAGGTCACTTGCCTTGGCGCCTGGACGGACTCAGGAGTAGCCTCAGGGGAGGAGGAGATGCGAGCTGAAGAGGGAGGGTGTGAGCCGCCGCCCTAGCTCAGCCTCCTGGGAGTAGGTGGGTGTCCTCACCCTGATTTCAACCCCTAGAATCCTACCCATCCTGAGGAAGGGGCTCTACCCAGCCCTCCCCTCTGAGGCCCTTGCCAGTCGCTGCCCCCAACTGTCTCCCTCGCCAGACTGCGATTCCCAGGGGCCTGGGACTGTGCCTTGTCCCCTCCACCACCCGCCACGGGAAGCCTTTGCACCTTTCCCTCTTTCCCTTTGCCTGCCTCAGCCTGGGCACCACCAGCACCTCCTCCAGGAAGCCTTCGCTGGCCTTTGGTTGGGCAGGAGCCCCTCCTCCGGGCCCACGCAACACCCTGGATTATCTGGGATGGTGAGGCCCTGGGGACACGGATTGCTGGTGCCTCGCACAGGCCCACCTCAGTGTGCACAGACACTGCATGTTCTCACCTCTGGCACAGTGGTCCTCAAACCGCAGCAGGCATTGGCATCACCCACAGAGCGTTGCGAAAATGCAGCCCCCAAGATCTCCCCTTCCCCAGAGATTCCAATCCAACAGGTCTAAGCTGGAGCCCAGGGATCTGCATTTAAGACACTTCCCAGCCAAGTCTGATGCAGAGGCCTGAGCATCTTAGGGTTCATGAAATGCACCATCGGCCCCGACCTCTGCAGGGGTTCAGCAAAATAGCTATAAACAGAAGGACGATAAAAACCTCTGACATCTGTGCTCTGTGAATCACTCGCAAAACACTTTCACACCTGGTTCTCCTTTTTTGTCTTCCCCTTTTAATTAATTAATTTATTTATTTATCTATTTTTTTGAGACGGAGTCTCACTCTGTTGCCCAGGCTGGAGTGCAGTGGTGCAATCTCGGCTCACTCCAACCTCTGCCTCCCGCATTCAAGCAATTTTCATGCCTCAGCCTCCCAAGTAGCTTGGACTATAGGCGTGTGCCACCACGCCCGGCTAATTTTTTGTATTTTTAGTAGAGACGGGGTTTCGCCATGTTGGCCAGGTTGGTCTTGAACTCCTGACCTCAGGTTATCCACCTGCCTCGGCCTCCCAAAGTGCTGGGATTACAGGCGAGAGCCACTGCGCCCAGCCTGTCTTCCTCTTTTTAACCACTGTCTTGGGAGGATCATCATCCTCACTCCACAGACACCAAGGCTCAGAGACAAAGGGTGACATGTCCAAGGTCCTCCAGCTAAAAGAGTGGAGCTGGGATTTGAGCTGGAGCCACCCTGGGCTAGGGGAGCTCCAATCTCTGTTACAGCTGTTGGGTTTGAAGGATGCTGTTTTTCCAAAACCAAAATTCAGGACCTAGACACGGCCTGGTGATTCCAGCCCTGTGGAGGAAACTCAGGCCACTGCCACTGTCCCTGTTGAGGCCCTCCTCATCTCTTCCCTGAGACACCCAACCCTCTTGACCCCCTCTGCTCATGCAAGTCCTCTCCTCCTGGATCCAGAGAAAGTTTCATCTCATACTAAAGCCGCAGCGATTTCTGCAAGCACCAGATTTGCAGCCAGGTATTGCGCTGGACATCGTGGCCAATTCAGAGAAGGGCAAAACAGAGCACCTGGCCCCGAACCAGGGGCTTCCTGTCCAGCTGGAAAAACAAGAAGTGCTTACTTGGGTGATAGAATAAGGTACTTGAACTTTCTTTTCCCTCAAATAGATTCCTGGTCCCAACCAGACCCCCTCAATTGACTGGGACATGTTCCTCTGCTGTGTGGGCTGATTCCAGTGACCCCCTCTGCTAAAAAAGCTAAGCAGGTTGTGACATTTTCACACCAACAGTATTACAAAGCAATCTGATTTCCTTTTTCTTGTCTGTCACAATGACACCTGTTGATGGATTCTAAGTATACTATGGAAGATGGGGGTGCCAGAGATTAGAAAGTAAGTTGAGAAAAAGGCCAGGTGCAGTGGCTCACAACTGTAATCCTAGCACTTTGGGAGGCTGAGGTGGGTGGATCATCTGAGGTCAGGAGTTCGAGACCAGCTTGATCAACATGGTGAAACCCCGTCTCTACTAAAAATACAAAAAATTAGCCGGGCATGGTGGTGGGCGCCTGTAATCCCAGCTACTCAGGAGGCTGGGGCAGGAGAATCGCCTGAACCCGGGAGGCAGAAGTTGCAGTGAGCTGAGATCGCACCACTTAACTCCAGCCTGGGCGACAAGAGGGAGACTCCATCTCAAAGAAAAAAAAAAAGAAAGAAAGAAAAGAAAAGAAAAGAAAAAAATTGCAAAAATTAGCCAGGCGTAGCTATGAGCTGTAAGCCCCAAATTTAAAGGGGATAAAAACCTTGCCAGACAAAATACAAGCATGTAATAAATTAATCACTGCAGAATTGGCTCAGGAAAACCATGAAGAGATTTCACAAGGCAAATACACAGCAAATTGCTGAACAAATGATTCAAATAGCAACTGCTCAGGAGCTCAGCTCAGAAAAGGGAGCAAGATATATGAGCTGAGATTGTCTGCTAAGGCTGCCGGGAAGAGGTGAATTAGAGCGGAGCCTGCAGGCAAGGGATGAACAAGGCAGAAAACAGGGGCATCTTCCCCAACCTGAGAAGAAGGGCCAGAGTGGGTAGGGGGTTTTGAGGTCAGAGTGACAGCTGTGCCATGCAAATTGTTTACAAAGCACTCACACCTGTTTCTCCTTTTAATCTTTTGTTTCTGAGATGGAGTCTGGCTCTGTCACCCAGGCTGGCATGCAATGGCGCGATCTCGGTTCACTGCAATCTCCGCCACCCGGGTCCAAGCGATTCTCCTGCCTCAGTCTCCTGAGTAGCTGGGATTACAGGTGCATACCACCATGCCTGGCTAATTTTTGCATTTTTAGTAGAGACGGGGTTTCACCATGTTGGCCAGGCTGGTCCAGATATATGATCTAGATCTTATACCAACTCCTGATCTCATGATCCACACTCCTCAGCCTCCCAAAGTGCTGGGATTACAGGCGTGAGCCACCGCGCCCAGCCTCTCCTTTTAATCTTGACTTTCACAAATACCTGGTGGCAGGTGTCATTTCCCCATTCTACACGTACCTGAGGCTCAGAGTGAGACAGCGACTCACCCAAGATCTCCCAGCTACAAAATGGCAGAGCCTGGGCCTGAGCTAGCATGGTCATGGGCTGGAAGAGCCACAATCCATGTTAAGGCACCTGGGTTTGGAGACTGCTGCCTTTTTTTTTTTTGAAACGGAGTCTCTCTCTGTCGCCCAGGCTGGAGTGCAATGGCCTGATCTCGGCTCACTACAACCTCCCTCTCCTATTTTCAAGCGATTCTCCTGCCTCAGGCTCCCAAATAGCTGGAATTACAGGTGTGCGCCACCGCACCTGGCCTTAGACTGCTGCTTTTTGAAACCAAAATTCTGGCCTGGAAACAGAGCTTGGTTTTCCCAGCCCCAGCCCTGCCGCTATGATACCAGAGGAAGAGGCTTCCCAGGGCCTCCGTTTCCTTGCCTGCACAATGTGGCTGGCAAGATTTGGTCTTCTCTCACAGGGTGGTGGTGAGCTTTCAAATCCTGTGAAAGTGATCTCACAGGAGAGCAGTGGACACGTGGGAAGGCTGTTATTGTCACGGCATTCTGCACATCTGTCCGGACTCAATTAGCCACCTAAGGAGAGAGTAGGGCGGGGCTTCCACCGGCCGTGGGATATGTGGATAATCATCCTTCTGTATCTTTCTTCCATGGCTCCTGGGGCAGCTGGGGAAGCAAGCTGGATGGGCCTGGCCCCATGCTGCCGGATGAGGTGGATGCCTGGCTGTGGCTCTGGGAGAGCCAACCTCCCCCAGGGAACCCACTTTACACAATAGCAGTGGCAGCAGAGGCTGGCGAGGAGACAAGATTCGGACTCTGGGGAGCACTGATAGCATTTCCCGAGCCTCAGGTACATGCGGACCGTGACCCTCCCTGGGACCCCAGGGGGGCTGCTCCTCAGGACTAAGGAAGGAGGAGGGGGTGTGAGAAACCTTTCACCATATACCATAGAAAGCATTTACCTCAATGGCCTTGGTTTACATATGGGGAAACTGAGGCACATAAAGGGAAGGGAGCATGTCCAGTCTGTCCTTAATAGCAAGACCCACTGAATACACCTCTCCTGGCTCTCTGTTTAGTGTTTGGACGTTCAAAGATCCCTAGACTAGGCGGCGGGAGTTTCAGGGCCACGATCCAGATCTTACACCAACTGTGTGTGGCCCCGCACAAAATCACTCCCCGCTCTTTGGCACTTAAGTTGGCGAAACTGGGATGGGCTGGGACCTCAAAGGGCCATTCTAGTAGGGGAGTCACAGGCCCAGGTGGTGAAGGGGTGAAAGGGCATGATGTCTTGGGGTTTATAGTCCACTGAGCCTCGCCGGAGGTAACCCCGGCTCAGGGATGCTTTCGTTGCCATGGCAACCGCCGGGCCGGCGCGGGCCCCTGAGTGCAGCTGAGGAAGCTGGGACAAACCCTGCCCTTCCCAAGATGGCGGCGGCGGCAGGGCAAAGGGCGGGGTTAGACGCTGTCAGCCTGTCCAGACCGTTCCTCTGTTTTCGCTTGTTCCTACTAACAGCGAGCTTCCGCCAATACTTGTTCTCGTTCTTGGTTCCGAGCGTCCCGGGAGCCGGGAAGGGAAGGATTGTCTGCAGGGATTGGAGCAAATATCCAGTGGGGGGAAAGCCGGGACTTCCGCGTCTTGCCGGAAGTGACGTGACAATCGCGGCCACCGCCAGGTGGAACGGCAGGTGGGTTCAGGTACCAGCCTGGCCGGGACCCGGCTGTGGGACCAACGCTTCCGGTGAGCGACAGAGGCAGCTCCCCAGGGCCTGGAGACCCGTGGGGCGGACTCTGGGATCTGAGCCTATCGCCCTGGCCTGGAGCCCCCCTTTGTACCTAGTAAGAATCACCTACCCAGCCCCCCACCCGGAGACTGTCCCATCCCACTCCAGAGGGAAGAGGAGGGCACTGCTGTCCCGTATGAGGTGGTGGAGGGAGGGGTGGCGTTGGCATTTAGGCACTTGGGTTCCTTAAATCCTATGCTCCTTTCTCTCCCGGATCCAGTTCCCCATTCCCCTACCGAGCTGGGCAGTTAGCCAGCCCACTCCAACTCTCGGAACCATGTTTGCAGACTTGGATTATGACATCGAAGAGGATAAACTGTGAGTATTTTATTCCCCCAAGTTCCAGCAGTATAGGAGCCCCAAGTTCCTCATTTCCCTGGACTTCCCAGTCCCACAGACCCTTGCTTCTCAGCGGTGGATCAGTTGTTGTACTGAAGCAGCAATGGACCCTGCTCTCCCAGGAGCTCACTATTTGTAGGGGGCTGTGGACAGTTAAAGGGATAATCACAGCTCAGTGCCATAAGGGCACTATTAGCATGACTTGGTGACAAGAAGAGCAAAGCAGATGGAGCAGTGCTTCTGCTGGGATGGTCAAGGAAAGCTTCATGGAGGACGTAGCAATTGAACCAGGTTTTGAAGGTTGAATAGGAATATTGTAGACACCCTTCCTTCCCAACATAGGTTGTTAGTAGGACAGATTTTCCCATTAGAATATATCCTCTTTCAGATCAAGGAGTGGGTGCAATGCCTTTCTCTATGCTCAGCACTTAGTAAGGGACTTGACGTCAGTAGGTTGTTAGCGAATGTTTTTTGAATGAATAAGTGAATCAGCGTGAGTACTTATCATAAAACACCAGTCAATGCTAATTTATAGTGGAAACCGAGAGGTAATCGAGCAGTTGAGAGGTGGGAGGTGGACAGTTTAATAGAGGAAGACTCCCTGGAGTAGGTGGCCATCATACTACATAGATGCCTGATAAGGTGACAAGGACAGAACCTGGCTCAAATCTCAGAGATCGAATAAATGAAAGGGAAGGGGGACCTATTTTTATGGAGTGCCTGCTATGGACTGGGTTGCTGTTAGTGCCCTCCATGCATGGTTAGAAGAACTCTGATAAGGGTGCTCATCCACATTTTATGGATGAGGAAATTGAGATGCACAGAGGCTGACTTACCCAAGTCCCATAGCTGGCCAGGCACGGTGGCTCACGCCTGTAATCCCAGCACTTTGGGAGGCTGAGGCAGGCGGATCAACTGAGGTCAGGAGTTCAAGACCAGCCTGGCCAACATGGTGAAACCCCGTCTCTACTAAAAATACAAAAAAATCAGCCAGGCGTGGTGGCAGGCACCTGTAGTCCCAGCTACTTGGGCGACTGAGGCAGGAGAATCACTTGAACCCGGGAGGCGGAGGTTGCAGTGAGCCGAGATTGCGCCATTGCACTCTAGCCTGGGCAACAAGAGTAAGACTCCATCTCAAAAAAAAACCAAGTTCCACAGCTGATAAATGGCAGAGCTGGGGTTTGATCCCACATCTGCTTAACTCCAAGAGCTGTGCATGTTCCAGCACAAAATGTTGTTTTGTCCAAGGGAGGGAGAGAAAAAGCTGGGCAGCCAGTGGAGCCCCTCAGGAGTTTTAGAGGGCCCACCCGCTCCAGTCATCCTTCTGCCAGGAGAGTCAGCCTAGCTTGCTTTCCTTTCTAGCGGAATCCCGACTGTGCCTGGGAAGGTGACCCTGCAGAAGGATGCTCAGAACCTGATCGGGATCAGCATTGGAGGAGGGGCCCAGTACTGTCCCTGCCTCTATATCGTCCAGGTATTGGGCGCTTTGGAGGGGGGCACAAGGTACATCCCTACTTGGGCATGACAAAGGCAGGTTCATTTCTCCACACTGCATAGCTGACTCCTTCTCATTCTTGAGGTCTGACCCTCTCAGAGGGGCTTTCTGACCACCTGCGCTGCGTTGCTCTGCCCTGTCTTCTCCCCTGTGTCGCTCTGTTTTTTTCCTTCTCGGCACTTATTACTTGTTATTTGCCCTCTGTCTAGTAGAGTAGACTCTTTGCACTGAGGGCAGTGTCCTGGTTTGCTTTTTCACTGCAGTAAGCACCAGGTACAGTGCCTGGCACATAGTGGACATGCAATAGAAATTGACTATTGAATCAACAAAACCATCAGCCTTGCGTACTAGCCAAAATGAAGTGTCATAGGAACACGATGAAATAATGGCCTGAGTTCAAATGCAAGCTTCTTTCCTACTTACTAGCAAGTTACTTAACCTCTTTGGGCCTCAGTTTCATCACCTAGAAAGCGGGGATTTAAAACATGTAGACACAATCATCTCTGGGTTCTTGTGAGAAGTCAACAAAACGACCTAACACACTAGAAGTTAAGAAACGTGCATTGGCCAGGCATAGTGGCTCACACCTGTAATCCCAGCACTTTGGGAGGCCGAGGTGGGTGGATCACGAGGTCAGGAGTTCGAGACCAGCCTGGCCAACATGGTGAAACCCCGTCTCTACTAAAATACAAAAATTAGCTGGGCGTGGTGGTGCACGCCTGTACTTCCAGCTACTTGGGAGGCTGAAGTAGGAGAATCGCTTGAACCTGGAAAGTAGAGGTTGCAGTGAGCTGAGATCACGCCACTGCATTCCGTGCATTCCAGCCTGGGTGACCGAGTGAGACCCTGTTTCAAAAAAAAGAAAGAACCATGCATTAAGCAGTAGCTGCTGCTATTTTCCAGGTAGCTGTACATTTTCCCAGATGCTCTGCCAGTGGTGAGGAACACTCTTGTGTCTCTTGCAGAGGAAGCTGCACTGGTGATATTCTGTCCACTGTAACTCAGGAGTGGTGACAGGCCTGCTGTGGGGCCTCCTTCACTGTGTGGCTCATCCAAGTCAGTGACCTTGCTGTAGCCTTGGGAATACCTGTTCTAACCCTCTCACTGGTGGCAGATGGGAAACTGGCCTCTGTGAGGATCTTGCTCAGGAGTCGCTTGTAGGCCTCGAAGACAGATTCCCAGGATCGACCTGGTCTTGCTTCTGCTCACAGTGCTGCCTCCTTCATGAGCCATTCGGCCTCCTGTGACCCAGGAGGCATTAGCAAGACCTCCCCCAGGCCTGGCCTCCTGGCCGTGTGTCTGCTCAGCCTCTCGCCACCTCCCTCTACCTACCTCAGGTGCAAGTTTGCTTAGAATGAACAGACATCATAAAATAGTATAATTGATTTTTTTTTTTTTTTGAGACAGAGTCTCACTGTGTTGCCCAGGCTGGAGTGCAGTGGCGTGATCTCAGCTCACTGCAACCTCTGCCTCCTGGATTCAAACGATTCTCATGCCTCAGCCTCCCGAGTAGCTGGTATTACAGGTGTGCGCCATCATGCCCAGCTAATTTTCGTATTTGTAGGAGAGAGAGGTTTTAGCTATGTTGGCCGGCCTGGTCTCGAACTCCTGGCCTCAAGCGATCCACCCACCTCAGCCTCCCAAAGTGCTAGGATTACAGGCATGAACCACCAGCCAATAAAATAATAGAACTGGCCGGGTGCGGTGGCTCACACCTGTAATCCCAGCACTTTGGGAGGCTGAGGTGGGCAGATCACCTGAGGTGAAAACTTCCAGACAAGCTTGGCCAACATGGTGAAACCCTGTCTCTACTAAAATACAAAAATTAGCCAGGCATGATGGCGGGTTCCTGTAATCCCAGCTACTTGGGAGGCTGAGACAGGAGAATCGCTTGAACCCGGGAGATGGTGGTTGCAGTAAGCCGAGATCGTGCCATTGCACTCCAGCCTGGGCAGTTGAGTGAGACTCCGTCTCAAAAATAATAATAATCATCATCATCATAGAATTGATTTTTTTAAATTCAATTTTGTTTTTATCAAAGTGCCATATGACTTGCCTCTACCAAGTCAAGAGCATTAAAAGCCCTGTATCAAATAATAGCAATCCACTGCCCTTCCCCTGGGCACCTCACCCGGCTTTCTCTGTCTCTTCATGCATGGGCTTCCATTTTTCTCAATAGTCTCACTCTGTCGCCCAGGCTGGAGTGCAGTGGTGCAAGCATGGGTCACTGCAGCCTTGATTTCCCCAGACTCAGATGATTCTCCCACTTGAGCCTCCAAGTAGCTGGGATTACAGGCACGTGCCACCAAACCTGGCTAATTTTTGTGTATTTTTTGTAGAGACGGTGTTTTGCCATGTTGCCCAGGCTTGTCTCAAACTCTTGGGTTCAAGTGATCCACCCGCCTCAGCCTCCCAAAGTGCTGGGATTACAGGCGTGAGCCACCGTGCTCAGCCTATCCTGTTGTTTCTTGATCTATCACCTGTAAATATCTATTGACTTTGCCTCGTCTGGTAGATGAGAATTTAGTTCTTCCCATGACCAGTCTGTTTCCTCTCATCCCACCTTTCCAACATAGTTATTTTTCTATTTTTGGCTAAATTAATATTAGTACAACGGAGATTTTGTTCGGGAAATCTTTTCCAGATGCCTCCTAGGCTCTGTTGTAGGCACTAGGGATAAAAGAATAAGAAAGCAAAGATCCTACTCTTGCGGAGCCCTCATTCTAGTCAAAACAACTCTATGTTTAACTTTCTGAGGAATCTATGTTTCTTTTCTTAATTCAGCCTGTTCTTGTGTTTTGAGAGGGTGGGGGTAATTTCCTGTTTTGTTTTTTTCATTTGCACTCTCCTTGTTTTCTCAGTATGTTTTCCACAATTTCCCATCTTTTTTTTTTTTTTTTTAAATTAAGTCTTGCTCTGTTGCCAGGCTGGAGTGCAATGGCGTGATCTTGGCTCACTGCAACCTCCAGCCCCCGGGTTCAAGTGATTCCCCTGCCTCAGCCTCCGAAGTAGCTGGGATTACAGGCACGTGCCACCACGCCTGGCTAATTCTTGTATTTTTAGTAGAGACGGGGTTTCACCATGTTGGTCAGGCTGGTCTCGAACTCCTGACTTCAAGTGATCCACCTGCCTCGACCTCCCAAAGTGCTGGGATTACAGGCGTGAGCCACCATGCCCGGCCCCATTTTCTTCAGTCTGTTTTCCGCCCTGTAGTCTCTCCCCCTTGTGCCCTCCCCCTGCCCCTGCCCCTTCTCTTTGGATTCCCCCATCTTGGGGGTCCCTTTCCTGGTTTACTCCCTGATCTCCCGTGGAGAATATCCTCCTGTAGCTTTCTGAGAAAGGGCACGTGGGATGTCAATTTTTTGAGACCTCGGGTCTGTCTTTTTTGGTCATTGTGGTTCCCATATTCCTTTCAGTTGACATTTTGGCTCATTCGATTCAAGAATGAACGTCAAGGTTGACAGTAATTCCTGTGTGGAAGTGTGATGGCCTTGTCACATTGTCCTTTGCTGTCACATGGCTATTGCCATTCTTATTGGTGATCCTTTATTTGTGATGTGTTTTATTTCTGATCTGTGAGAACTTTGAGGACTTTGTTTTTGTCCCTGGTGTTGGGAGGAGTCGTGATGGTAGCTGCAGGCACAGGCTTTTGTTTATTGTGCCAGATCCTCAGAGGGCGTCATCGGGAACACCATGTCCTTCTTGTCATGTATCTCGATGATGACATCCTGCTTTCTGTATTCTCTGTTCTGCTTTTTTCTATTTTTTTATTGTGGTAAAATTTACCATCTTAACTTTTTTTTTTTTTGAGACAGGATCTTGCTCTGTCGCCCAGGCTGGAGTGCAGGGGTGCGATCATGGCTCACTGCAGCCTCAACCTCCTGGGCTCAAGCGATCCTCCCACCTCAGACCCCCGAGTAGCTGGGACTACAGGCACGCGCCACCATGCCTGGCTCATTTTTGTATTTTTTTTGTAGAGACAGAGTTTTGCCATATTGCCCAGGCGATCTTCCCACCTCGGTTTCCCAAAATGCTGGGATTACAGGTGCGCACCACCGTGCCCAGCCCTTGGTCTATTTTTGAATTAGGTTGTTTGGTTTTTGTTGTTGAGTTTTAAGAATTCTCTACAAAGCACAATCGGCTAAGAGGAAAAAAAGAAAAAAGAGTTTTAGGAATTCTGCATATATTCTGGATATTAATCCCTTATCAAAAATGTGATTTGCAAATATTTTCTCCCATTCTGTGGGTTGCCTTTCTTTTCTTCTCTTCTCTGTTCTTTTTTTTTTTTTTTTTCGAGACAGTGTCTCACTCTGTTGCCCAAGCTGGAGTACAGTGACGGGATCTCAGCTCACTGCAGCCTCTGTTTCCCAGGCTCAAGCGATCCTCCCACCTCAGCCTCCCAAGTAGCTGGGACTACAGGCGTACACCACCATGCCCAGCTAATTTTCGTGTTTTTTGTAGAGACAAGGTTTTGCCACATTGCCCAGACTGGATGGTGTATTTTGATGCACCAGTTTTAAAATTTTTATGAAGTTCAATTTGTTTATTTTTTGTTACTTGGATCTTAGGTGTCACATCCAAGAAATTACTGTAAACTCCAATGTCGTGAAGGTTTTGGACTAGGCATTTTTCTGAGTTTTATAGTTTTAACTTTTACATTTAGGTCTTTGAACAATTTTGAGTTAATTATTATTATTATTATTATCTTCGAGACAGAGTCTCGTTCTGTTGCTCAGGCTGGAGTGCAGTGACATGATCTCGGCTTACTACAACCTCCACTTCCCAGGTTCAAGCGATTCTCCTGCCTCAGCCTTCTGAGTAGCTGGGACTGCAGGCGCCTGCCACCATGCCCAGCTAATTTTTGTATTTTTAGTAGAGATGGGGTTTCGCCATGTTGGCCAGGTTACTCTCGAATTCCTGACCTCAGGTGATCTGCCTGCCTTGGCCTCCCAGAGTGTTGGAATTACAGGTGTGAGCCACTGCGCCTGGCCTTGAGTTAATTTTTGTATGTGGTGTTAAGTAGTGTCAACTTCATTTTTCACATACCATTGTTGAAATGACTGTCCTTCCCCATTGAATGTTCTTGACACCCTTGTCAAAAATCATTTGATGCCGCCGGGCACGGTGGCTCACACCTGTAATCCCAGCACTTTGGGAGGCCAAAGCAGGTGGATCACCTGAGGTCGGGAGTTTGAGACCAGCCTGACCAACATGGAGAAACCCTGTCTCTACTAAAGATACGAAATTAGCCGGGCGTGGTAGCGCATGCCTGTAACCCCAGCTACTCGGGAGGCTGAGGCAGGAGAATTGCTTGAACCCGGGAGGCGGAGGTTGCGGTGAGCGAGATGGCGCTATTGCACTCCAGCCTGGGCAACAAGAGCGAAACGCCGACTCAAAAAAAAGAAATCATTTGACTATGTATTTGAGGCAGGAGAATTGCTGGAGCCCAGGAGTTCAGTGCCACAGTGAGCTGTGATCACGCCACTGCACTCCAGCCCGGGTGGTGAGACGCTTTCTCAAAAAACGAGAGCAGAGGGTAGAGTGGAAGACAGAGCCAGGCAGTGGTCAGGTGTCTTCCCAGGTTCCATCTTAGCCCTCCCTTTCTTCCCCCACCACTCTCCTTATGCACCCACAGGTATTTGACAACACCCCAGCAGCCTTGGACGGCACAGTGGCAGCTGGCGATGAGATCACCGGTGTCAATGGCAGGTCAATCAAAGGGAAAACTAAGGTGGAGGTGGCGAAGATGATTCAGGAGGTGAAGGTAAGGGCTGCTGCAGAGCAGGTGTCCAGAGGCAGCAACACATGTTTCTGAGACCTCCAGGCTGCCAGAGGTCCCAGCAGGCCTGGAAGGGGGTATCAGCCCTCACCGCCCCCTTCCTTGTCATGTGCAGGGTCAGGGTCACACTCCAGCCTCCCTCATCCATCCCTCATTCATTCAATAAATACTAATCGTGCTCCAGGACTTGTGCTGAACCTTGGCAAGAGAGTGGGCAGCAAGACCACAAGGTCCCCATGAGCTCCCAGGGAGCTGACAGACTTGGAACCACCCCTCAGGCAAGCCCATGTGTCCCCAGTCAGTGCCAGAGCTGAAGCTAAAAGTCCAAGGTGATCCTCCCTGGGTCAGTAGACACCCAATAATGTCAGCCGGGTCACGCTGGGCCTGTGAGGGCTAGGAGGGAAAGAAGAGTGCCCTTTCCCCATCCTGTAGGAACTTTCGGTCCCACACAGCCTCCTGGGCTCATAGACACCCAGAGACCCCCCTCCCAGGCCAGCTGATCTTCTGCTCTACAGACCAGAGTCACACACTGCCTGCCCCGCTTTCCCCCACCCCTGCCGCTCCAGGACTGGAATGGCAGGCGGCATCCCGGCCTCTCCTGAAGCGAGCATGCAGCCCCTTTGCCATTTCCTAGCGAAGTGGCTGCTAGCTAGTCTCAGGAAACCAATACTGTGAAAGAACTGATGTGCAGGCAGTGCACAGCCATGGGGTGATTTGAAAGTCTCGGGGGCAAGGGTCCCCACTGTGAGTTCAGCTTGGCCAAGGGTGGCAGCTACCTCCCTCAGCCCCACTTCCATCCTCCGGGTTCTGGCACTCCTGATAGTCCGCCTTCCTGCCTTAACCCAGGCCAGCCGCTGCTCCATCCTCTCTCCCCTTTATCCTCCTGTCCTGCTCCTGAGTAGTCCGTGCTTCTCTCCTTCCTTGCTGTAGGAAGAGTCCCATCCTGCACATTCTCCTATTCCAGCCCCTTTAGCCATAGGACAAATCAGGGCCTGGGGCTGGGGCTCAGAGCTCTGTTGTAAAAAAAGGAAGCAGCAAGGTTCATTGAGACCCCACAGCTGCCACTCCACGTGGTCTGGGTATCACTGCCTCAGGTATGACCTGTTAGGCAGAGGAGCTGATCATGGGAACAGGTGCAGGGGGTCTCGTTCTGGCCGAGTTGGGTTGTGTGTGCCCCATTTGGCAGCCCTTCCCCCCTCCGCATCTCCTCCCCATCTCCACTCGCCAGGTCCCTCCCTGTCCTCTCAGGCTTGGTCATACCAGCACCTCAGGTTGCCCATGAGGACAAGAGCTCTTTGTATTTGCACACAGCCATGACAGGGATGCAGCATTGGCCCAGCTCCCCTGTTTGGGTGCTGGGCAGGGATTACTCTCCCATCTTACAGGTGTCCACAGGCGGGGAGTGACCTGCTTGTGGTCACACAGCTGAACTGGAGCCCGGGCCCGACTCCCACTGCAGCCCGCTTGCCGTTGGCCTACAGCTGCTCCCTGTGGGGTGGCCCCTGAGCACGCCTGTGTTTCATTCTGCGGGAGCAGTTCACACCCCACCTCTGACTCTGATTGCATCTGCTCATTTTGGTTTCCCTTTGGGACTTGATTTTAAAATCCTGTTTTATATTTGGATGAATGTGGTCCCAAGTTCAAGGGCTTTTGGTTTGCAAGGATGAGAGTGAACACAGCGCCCTCCCGTGCTCAGGCAAGTCCTCTTGGGAGAAGCCTTTGTCTCCTGAGCAGTCGTTAGAAAGTGGTTTGTGTAATTCCCTGATTCGCATCAGCCTTGCGGGGCTGGGGCTGCCCCTGCCCCTCCCCTTGGTGCCCCAGCACCAGGCACAGAGCAAGTGCTCAGATGTGCTGTTCGATGAGTAGAGGGATTCCTGGGGATGGGGTGTTTTGGGGTGGAGGAGGGAATAATCAGTGTAGGGAAATGACACGGCAAAGGCTTGGAGTGTGGTTTGCGTGGGGAGGGAAGAAGGAGAGCCTGACCTGGCCGAAGCACAAGACATCAGAGACCGCCAGGCTGTGGGCCCGGTGCCGGCCCTGTCCCCACTGATTCCCCAGGGCTTGGATGTAGAGTAGGAAGGGAGGGGCCTGGGATCAGACAGGGTCACAAGGTGGGGCCATGTCACAGCGCTCAGCCTGGCCCTTACTGGGGCTTAGGATTCTTTTTTTTTTTTTTTTTTTTGAGACAGAATCTCATTCTGTCATCCAGGCTGGAGTGCAATGGTGTGATCTCAGCTCACTGCAACCTCCGCCTCCCAGGTTCAAGTGATTCTTTGCCTCAGCCTCCTGAGCAGCTGGGATTACAGGCACGCGCCACTACGCCCAGCTAATTTTTGTATTTTTAATAGAGATGGGGTTTTGCCATGTTGCCCAAGCTGGTCTCAAACTCCTGACCTCAAGTGATCTGCCTGCCTCAGCCTCCCAAATTGTTGGGATTACAGGTGTGAGCCACCGCACCCGGCCTTGGGCTCAGGAGTCTCAGTCCAGAACAGTCTTGGCTGGGAAGGGGCTCAGGGTGTGGAGCCTCGCTCACTAGTCTGTGTGTGCTGCTCTTCCAGGGGGAGGTGACCATCCACTACAACAAGCTGCAGGCGGACCCCAAGCAGGGCATGTCCCTGGACATTGGTAAGCTGGTCAGAGCAGTTACGGGTGTCCAGCAGCCTCCCTGGATGGGCCCTGGCCCAAAGGAGAAGTGCCACAGCCAGCCCTGCCCTCCCCTTTATGACAGGAGAATCCAGAGTTACATGGCTGTGGGCTCTGACCTCTGACCAAGCAAATCTGAAAGGCCTGGGAGGCCTCCCGGTGCTCTCCCTGCATCTGTTCTTGTACTCTGTCCCTGGTTTCTCACTCCCCCGCGTTTCACCCCTACCTCCCTGCTTCTGCCATCTCCTCTGGGGACTTGCTACCCTAGGGTTGTCCTTTGCAGGCCAGCGCCTCGGCTTCCATGGCCCAGGGCCTCACTCTTCATAAAGGGAGAGCAGCCTAACCCTGGCCTGGCGCCTCATGCCCTCTAGCACAGCGCACTCCTCCCTGGCCTCTCCTGCCATCAGCTCCCAGGGGGACTCTGGATCTGAACTGGACCTCAGGCATTGGGCAGAGGGTCTGCGCCCTGGGACAAGTTCCCTCCTGTTAGAGGGGCTGAGCCTCGGTTCTGTAGAAACTTTAAGACTCAAGAGCTGGACAGCAGCTTCGAGTCCTCTGGACCGGCCGCTTCACATTATGGATCAAAGCCTGAGACCCAGAGAGGGCGCTGCAGCCCCTGGTGAGCGCACACCTAGGTCTCAGCTCTGGAGCCCAGCAATCCCCTTCATACACCCTAGGGCCAGAGGCCAAGGGGCTAAGGGCAGGCTGGATCTATCTGGGAGCTCCCTCCGAAACCCTCTGGTTCCAACACAGGACTAAGTCCCCTTCCTAGGACTAAGCTGGTCAGATGCAGTAACTGAGTCTGGGGTCCGAGCTTCATGGTCATTGATGGTGCCCATTACTTTCACATAACCAGCCCAGGGGCCCCTCTTCTCCCCCTCCCCTTTATGTGACACCCTAGGTCCTGATGTGACACAGAGGAGGGGAAGAGGCCTCCTTGGCTTCCATTAGCCTGTGCTGAGCCCGGGCAGCACTGGGCTCTCAGCAACCAGCAGCTGATGTTGCGTAGCAGGCCCTGGGCGAAGCGCTTCATGTTTAACTGCCCAGGCTGCCAGCACCTCTGTGAAGCAGAGGGAATAGGGCAGGGGCCTAGGACCTCCCCACTGGACATTCCCCACTTCACAGCCACCCCCAGCAGCCCTTCTGCCCCCTGTGGGGTGCTCCCTGTGCATGGAGGTAAGGCTGGGGGCAGGGATGGCCTCTGGGCAGCCACAGACTCACCAGGTCCTTTGTCCCCCGCTCAGTGTTGAAGAAAGTCAAGCACCGGCTGGTGGAGAACATGAGTTCAGGGACCGCAGATGCTCTGGGCCTGAGCCGGGCCATCCTGTGCAATGGTGAGTCCCTTCCCACCCAGCTGGGGCCCCGGGGACTCAAGCCCAGGCTGAGAAGAGTGGGGGGCACCATGGCTGCCCACCAAGCTGCTGTGGGTCCCGCGGGTCTGACCCTGGCCTCTGCCCGTGGAACTGAGAAGTCACCATCTCTGTACCCCCAGAGGCCTCTCCAGCTCCCGGAGGGTCCACAGCTGTCAGCTGGGCTGTCTTAGCCAGTGCCCCTCAGGTCACAGATGGGAAAATAGACTTAGTGTGGGGAGGTGCCTCTGCCCCTGCCCTCAGCCCCTTACCCCTCACCCCAGCACTCTCGCGGCCCACCTCCTGCCTCCTTTGTCCAGGAGGTGGTGCTGCTGCCCTTGCCTCTGCAGGTCCTCCCTTCGTGGTGGCTGCGCAGGCGAGGGGGGAGGCGTGTACATGCACATTTACACACGCATGCACACATGCGCACACACTTTCCCTCCCTGGGGTGGCCAGCGAAACACTCAGTCCCCCTCCTACCGTCGCCAGTCCGAGTTTAAAAATAGCAGCAGCTCTGCAGTGTGCCTGTGGGGTAGATATAAATACTTCTAGAAATTGTAGGCTCAGCTGGGCACACTGGGCTTTATTGGCTAAGGAAGTGGGGGTGGGGACTGAGCTTGTTCCAAATGGTGTACAAAAGTGGCGGCTGCTATTTTCAGCCTCCTGGTGCCGTGCCTATAAATCCCTGTTACTGTAGTTACCAGCCGTTGAGATGAAATTAGAACTGGTTGTTGTGTTTTTCCCCCCAAACCTTGCAATTTCCCTGGCCTTAAATAGGGTTTCTAAAATTGAAGCTGTCATGATGTCCCATGACCCAGCTAAAAACAACAACACGATGCTTACATGGCTCCTTTCCTGCCGCTGGCCAGGTGCTAAGGCTCTGGGGAACCCAGGCCTGGAGGCCACCGGGTGGCCAAAGCCTCCCCAAGACCTCTGAATTGCTCCCTTCCTTCCCCGACAGCCTGTCGCACTGCCACCTCCCTGCCCAGAGAGGCCTGAACACAGCCTCCGCTCCTCCCCTCTTCTGCTAAAAAACCCTGACCCAGGTCAACACAGGAGGCTGGGGAGCAGAGAGCACCTGACTGCCCCACCTCTCCCCTGCAGCCCTCACCATCACACTGCTGTCCATCGCCCGGCCACTGGGCTGGCTTCTCTGCTGGGCTTTCAGCCTTGAGAGCAAGACTTGGCTCAAAGTGAGCCTGACATGGTGGCTGGCACACAGTGGGTGCTCAAGAAACACTAAGCCAATGACTGATCACCAAGGCCTCTTCCCAGTGTGAGCTCTCTCAGCCTTCCTGAATTTCCCCCTCCCTCCCCAAGTTGCGTTTTCCCTTCTGAGCCATCTGTGTGCTTGGGAGGCAGAGACCATGTCCTTCCTGCGCTAGAGGCCTGGCTGCTCCATCTCCATTCCTATGGCCCCTGCCAGCCTTCCTCCCCAGCTGTCAGCAGGCTTTGTGTTAGAAGTGTGGGAGCTTTGCCTGCTAGGCACGGACCCTCCGCTGGCCATGAGGAGGGCCTAGTCATTTACAAAACACCTTTGAACCCAGCTGACCCGAGCTGCCAAATCCCCCTCCCTGGGACCCCTGATCTTTCCCTTCCTGGTTCTCCTCTGGGGTTGCCTCTCCCCTCCCCAGCATGGCCCTGGGCCTCCTGTGGCTTGCTGAGCCCACTGACCTCCCCTCTTCTTTGAATCCCGACAGATGGGCTTGTCAAGAGGCTAGAGGAGCTGGAGCGGACCGCTGAGCTATACAAAGGTGGGTGGGGGGTGGCCTCGTCCTGGCACTAGCTCTACCCCAGGGAGCATGCTCTCAGCAGAGTGGCAACAGGGGTGCTGGCACTAGGAATGCCAGCCTACAAAATACTAGGACCATGGGCATTAAGAGTTCTTAAGAATATATACTTCTTCTGAATTTAAAAATAACTCAGGGGCCTGGTGCAGTGGCTCACGCCTGTAATCCCAGCACTTTGGGAGGCTGAGGTGGGCGGATCACTTAAGGTCAGGAGTTTGAGACCAGCCCGGCCAACATGGTGAAACGCCATCTCTACTGAAAATACAAAAATTAGCCAGGCATGATGGTGTGTGCCTATAATCAGTACTCGAGAGGCTGAGGCATGAGAATCGCTTGAACCAGGGAGGCAGAGGTTGCAGTGAGCCAAGATCACACCACCGCACTCTAGTCTGGGCAATAGAGCAAGACCCTATCTCAAAAAAAACAAAACCTGATACTCATAAAAATTCAGAGAATAGCACTTGTAAACATAGCGAGAGTCCCCCGGAATCCCACACTGTCCCAGGGCTAAAGCCCACAGCAGGCTGTGTACCCCTGCATCTTACAAAATGCTGGCGCCCCTGTCTGATGGGGCTCCTCACGGGTTGGGTCGGACTGAGCTTTTACCCCTGGGCTGTGGTTGGGCGGTGGGGAAAGGCCATGTATCAGGGCCTAGCAGAGGCCTTGGGTGGCATGGGCAATTGGAGGCCTTGCCCTGGGCCAGTGTGGTCCCCGCCATGCGTCCCCATTCCGCATCACTCGGTCTCTCCCACAGGGATGACGGAACACACCAAGAACCTCCTACGGGCCTTTTATGAGCTGTCGCAGACTCACCGGGGTAATGGCATCCCCCAAAGCTGTGGTGTGACCGTGGGCAATCCCTGGGGCCTCTCACTCCCATGCTGAGGTGGGTCAGACCCACAGCGCCTGACCTCAGGCTCCCTCTGGGCTGGGCCTGGTCCCAGGTGCTGGGATTTGCGATGGGCCTGCGGGGAACATCTAGATCAGCTGGTCTCTTAAGGGCCGCAACGATGAACAGGCCCCACCCTGTCTCCTCACACTGCCACTGGCAGTACACAAGGCCCTTGCTTATTTATATTTCTGACAACCTGTAACTCTGGGCAGGCCGACTGCAGCTGACCCCAGCTACTGCAGAAAATGAAGCCCAGACAAAGGAGAGGGCCACACTGCTCCCAAGTGGTGGAGCTGTTGTTCCAATCCAGGTGTCTAGACTCGGACCAGTGTTCTGCCTCAGGCGGCGCCACCTCCACAAACCTTGACCCAGTCTTCTCTCACTGGTCCCTCTGGGGAATGAGGGCCAACTCCCTTGGTGTGTACACTCAGGACTCTAGGGGGCACAGACCAGCTCTTGGAGGTGTCAATCCAGTTTCCTCCAGGTGTAGACTCAGCTCCTTCAGGGGGTTTAGACCAGCTCTCTTGGAGGTGTAGCCCCTGTGCAGACATTGGCTTCCAGCCTGCCAGGCCCCCTGCCCTGCTTCTCCCCAACAAACCCCTGGCTTCTCTTAGGGGGCCAAGTAGGGGCAGCCTTCAAGGCAAACTTGTCCTGCAGCCTTTGGGGACGTGTTCTCCGTGATCGGGGTGCGGGAGCCCCAGCCAGCTGCGAGCGAGGCTTTTGTGAAGTTCGCCGATGCCCACCGCAGCATCGAGAAGTTCGGCATTCGGCTTCTGAAAACCATCAAGCCGGTAGGTCCTATTGAGCATGTGTGTGTCTGGCGTGTGAGGGTGGGGAGGGGAGAGTGTGGCATGCAGAGAAGGTCGTATGCTGGAGTCCTGTGCCTGGGTACAGCCTCTGGCTCAGTCACCCACACAGTGGACTGTGGGTGAGTCACTGTGCCCCCTTGGGCCTTGCCATTGACCTCTGGGCTGGCTTCTGACCCTGGCTCGCCACTGAGTCACAGCTTGCCCTAGGCCTGGCACTAGTCTTCTCATCCTTGAGAGGGACAAGGCATCAGGGAGCACCATCTGGCTCTGATAGTCGAGTCCACCAACAAGGGTGACGCATCAGTGCCATTCATTGTCACCCTGGCACACCCCTGCCGTGACAGCCTCAGCATCCACCCACCCTCTTCCAGATGCTGACGGATCTGAACACGTACCTCAACAAAGCCATCCCGGACACTCGCCTCACCATCAAGAAGTACCTGGACGTGAAGTTTGAGTACCTGGTGAGTAGTCCAGGTGCCCAGGCTGCTAGGGCAAGCGCCCACCCTGGAGATCTGCCCCACTTCAGTCAGCCATGCTGCGGCCAGCGAGGCCAGCCAGAGCTGACAGCATGTCTGCTCCAGGTGTGGGCCCAGAGGCCCAGGGAGGTGCAGCCAAAGCCCTGCTGCGCCTGCACAAAGAAGCATCTGAGAGCCTGGGGCGGGCATGGCTCTCGCTGTGTGCACTCTGACCCCTTGGGATTTGTTGCCTTTAAACAATGGGTTAGACTAGGTGAGTGAGCATAAAATGGGTGTCAGTGAACGTTCGTGAGTTTTACATTTAATTATTCTACAGTCAAAGGAATTGAGAGAAAATGCTCTATTAAGCAAGCCAAGGTTCCTTTGCTGCAGGACTTATCAGAGCCTTTGCTAGGCTGATGTGCAGTGTGAATTTTCAAGGGTCTTCCTAAGCTCCTTTAACGACAGACCCCTTTTTCCCCAGAGCATCTCTTGGGCCTTGAGTTTGGTCAACTCGGCCGCCTAAGCCTCAGGCCCTGTCATCCCTCAGCACCTGCCGCTGCCCGCTCTGGGACTCCCTGAACACCTGCGCCAGCCTCTCCTGCTGCGTGTGGGTGATGGGGGTGGAGCTGGGGACCTGGGGTGGGGGTAGTAGCCACTCTGACAGCCTCACCTGTCCCACACAGTCGTACTGCCTGAAGGTGAAGGAGATGGATGACGAGGAATACAGCTGCATTGTGAGTGTTGGAGGGGGTGGGGGGCTTGTACTTCCCCCCACCTGGTCTGCCAGGGATAGCAGGTGGCTCAGGCCAACCCGGGAGAGACCGGGGGGACTTGGCTGGACTCTCGTTCCTGGAGATTTAGGGCCATCTTCCCAGTCCCGCTCGCTGGGCCTCGGGGTGCTGGGCACCCGGCCGGGAACCACTCCCTCAGTCTGGGGGACTCTTGGAGGGAAATCGGATTTTCTTCACTCCTATGAGGCGCTTTTAAGTGTTTGATTTTTCTGCTGTCGGGATCCATTTCGTGGCCAGTGTTCATTGAATGTGGCAGAGGTTTGGGTTTGGTTTTTTCCTCTCTTCAAAGCTATCACTGAGTGCTTCTGAGAAACACTGAAGTCTCAGAAATGAGGTCTCAGGAATGAAGAACAGCCGTGGCTTTGAAAGCACAGTGCGGTGCGAGGCCGTCCCTGAGCAGGCACTCCTGTCCCACCCCCGCCCCAGGCCCTAGGCGAGCCCCTTTACCGGGTGAGCACCGGCAACTATGAGT
This sequence comes from Homo sapiens, assembly GCF_000001405.40. Classification (NCBI taxonomy): domain Eukaryota; kingdom Metazoa; phylum Chordata; class Mammalia; order Primates; family Hominidae; genus Homo; species Homo sapiens. The sequence continues at coordinate 38,074,353 of NC_000022.11, forward strand.
ACCGCCTGATCCTGCGCTGCCGCCAGGAGGCGCGCGCCCGCTTCTCCCAGATGCGCAAGGATGTGCTGGAGAAGATGGAGCTGCTGGACCAGAAGCACGGTGAGCGCCGCCCTCCTCCCCGTCCGCTCTCCATTTCAGAGGTGGGAAAACTGAGGCCCAGAGGGGTACTCTCAGGGCCAGGCCACGGCCCAGATGTAAAGCCCCTCCAGGAGCCCAGCCATCTGCCCAGAGCCTGGCCTGGGTGGAGCTGGCCTGTGCGCGTGGGCTCCGTGGGCTGCCATCCATGATCCATTTACCCTGCAGCCTCCTGCGTTCCCTGAACTGGGAGCGGGGAGGCCCCGGGCTGGGCGGCCCCTGCCTCCGCCCCTTGCCAGGTCATGAGGGGTCAGGGAAGTGCCCGAGTGGGAAGCCCAGGGGAGGCGAGAGGTGGGCCGGGTGGGCTGGGAGAGTCTCCTCCCTGAGGCAGGCAGCCAGAGCCCACTGCAGCCTGTCCCCCGACCTCCCACCCCAGTCCAGGACATCGTGTTCCAGCTGCAGCGCCTCGTGTCCACCATGTCCAAGTACTACAACGACTGCTACGCAGTGCTGCGGGATGCCGACGTCTTCCCCATCGAGGTAGACCTGGCGCACACCACATTGGCCTATGGCCTCAACCAGGAGGAGTTCACAGATGGGGAGGAGGAGGAGGAGGAGGAAGACACGGCAGCTGGGGAGCCGTCCAGGGATACACGAGGGGCTGCTGGGCCCTTGGACAAGGGTGGAAGCTGGTGTGACTCCTGAGTGCCCCGCGGCTGTGGTGCCGGGGGCAGGGTGCGTGGGAGGACGGAGCCTGGGAGCGGGGCGGGGCCGCCGCGCAAGGGGGCGACGCATAAAGGCCTGCTGGCTTGGGGCGCCTGCCTCCCTGCTCCTCTGTCCTCGCACAGCGAACCTGGGCTCCTGCCCAGGACAGGCACCAGGGTCATGGCCTGGGACCTGGACACTGGCCCCTCCACCCTCCCTCCCCTCCCGGCTCCCCGGCCAGAGGGAGAGCTTGGTCTCTGGACCTGCCTTAGGAAGGAGAGGGAGGGCAGGAAGGAAAAGAAAGGACTTGGAGGTGGCAGGAGTCCGAGCCCTGCTCCTTGTGGGCGCTCACACTGCCCCCGGAGCCTGCTGGGAGTGGGGCCAGCCGTGGACAGCTGAGGTTGGGGTCAATGCCTCCTGGGCACCCTTGCCTCGCCCCAGACCGGCCCGTCCAGTCCCCATCACACCTCGGCGGCCTTTATTTATTCTGTTCCCCCAGCTCGGCCACTTCTCTGAAGGAGGGCTGGGTTCTGGGCCTGTATCGAATAAACACAAACCTGGATGGCGCAGTGGTCGCAGTGGCTTCAGACCCTCCTTGTCTGCCCCTCCCCTCCACCGTCTATTGACAGCGCCCTTGCTATGCACCATTTATGCCTCACTGAAGTGTTGCAGGGCTAGCACTGTGGTCCCCTCACAGCTGGTGATTTGAGGCTCAGAGAAAGATCTTGCCCAAGGCCACGCCCTGTGTGGGGACACAGTGGGTTTTAACTCAGATCTGTCCTGAAGGCCTGACTTTGCCACCTGCCTCCAAAGCTTTCTGCTTTGTGGAACCTTTTGTATCTCACCCCCCGCCCCCTTCCCCCGCCCCCAATCTGTGACCTTTCTGTGCTTCCGACAGGAAATAAACCTCTGGGGGAGAGAAGGGCAGACATGGAGCCAGGGCGACTGAGCCCCCAAGTAGGGGAGGGTGGTGAGGGGTAAGTGCTGACTCCAGGCGCGCCTGTGCTGCCCGGGTGGTGGGGAAAGGCGTGTGGGGAGAGGTGCTCGGGGGCTGTGGGAAGAGGGGCGTGGGGAGAGGCCATGGGGAGTGTCTGCAGAGTGGCAGAAACAGGGTGGCCACTTCTCCTGCTTCTCCTGGCCAGCCTCGGCCTGGTGTAATCAGTCATAGTGGCCCTTGTCACTCTAACGTGTTCCTGTTTGGACGATGAATATGGCCATCCTGAGAATGCGAGGGGGCAACAGGGTGTGCGAGGTGGGCTGAGTCCAGGATGGAAAAAGGGTTTCTGCATCAGCTTTGAGCATGCATTGCTGGGCAGAAACCCAAATGGGAGGCTTGGCAGGGGTGGGACATGGAGGAGGGGCTGGCTGTCACCAGGAGCCCACCTGGGTCCCCGCAGAGCCATCAGACAGACCACACTGCCTCCCTGAAGGGGGCAGCCAGAGTGGAGGCCAAGAGCACAGGCTGGAACTGACAGCCTGGGTTCGTTCCTGACCTCCCTGGGCCTCAATTTCCCTATCTGAAGTGTGGCACCTACCTTATTGGCTTGTTAGGAGATTAAATGAACATCTGGAGAGGGCTTAGAACAGGGCTTGGCACAGAGCAAGCACTCTTAAATCTTAAATAAAGTCAGACGGGCCGGGAGCGGTGGCTCACGCCTGTAATCCCAGCACTTTGGGAGGCCAAGGCGGGCGGATCACGAGGTCAGGAGATCGAGACCATCCTGGCTAACACGGTGAAACCTCGTCTCCACTAAAAATACAAAAAATTAGCCAGGCGTGGTGGCGGGGGCCTGTAGTCCCAGCTGCTGGGGAGGCTGAGACAGGAGAATGGTGTGAACCTGGGAGGCAGAGCTTGCAGTGAGCCGAGATTGTGCCACTGCACTCCAGCCTGGGCAACAGAGCGAGACTCCATTTCAAAAAAATAAATAAAAAATAATAATAATAAAGTCAAACGCAGTCACTGCTCTAGTGGTGCAGGGGAAGCCACAGGCCATATAAGTAGAAGCCGGCCAGGCATCTGTGGGGCTCCCCAGACCTTCCTGGGGCCTAGATGGAAAATGAGGGCCAGCAGGGACCAGTGGGGAGGGGTCACTATGGGCCGGGCTGGAAGGTGAGGGGAGTTTGCGGAGGGAAGGCGGCTTCCTCTGCAGGGGCCTGTTCACCACGCTCATGATTCGGAGGGAGGCAAAGAAAGGAGGGGTGTGATGTATGGGAGGAGGATAAATGCATAGAGGGAATACATCGCGTCTTGCCAGATTCGTGCACCTGGATCCAAGTGCAGGAGGTCAGATGTCAAAGTGTGAGGGAGATCGTGGGACGCTCCGTGGGGAGAAGGCAGGTGCTGGGATCAGCAGATGACCTGGCTGCCAGCACAGTGTCCACAGCAAAAGCCCCTGGCCCTGGACACCCAAGTTTATCCTCTAGTGGGAGAGATGCCCTCTGGGAAGGTGAGGGGACATGGCCACCTCGTGGAAGGCAGCAGGGCCCATGGTGTTACTGAGCGCCTGGTCCCACCCTCCCCAGGACCCCAGGGGACGGAGTCGTATGCTCAGCCTCCAGTGAGCAAGGAAGTCAGCGGGGCTGGGATTCAAACCGACCCTGACCCTGGGAACTGTGAGTCTTCTCAGACCGCTCGGGCCCCCCGCCTGCAGGCAGACCCCAACCTTGAACCCTAGTTGCTGCCAACCCCTCGTTCCCTCCACGGGAAAAGGCAGATGCCAGCGAGGGGGCCTTCAGCAGACAGCTCTGAGCAGTGGGGCTGGGCAGGAGCCAGGCACTGTGCCCACCCAGCCCTGTGCCCCTGAGCCCTGTGCCCGCCCAGCCCCTTGTGTCTCTACACCTGGGAACGATGGGTCTCTTCATCCATCTCTGACGCTTCCTCCCAACACTGCCCACCTAGAAGCCTGCTTAGGGGGCCTGGAGAGAGACCTCCCAGACTCCCTCCCACCACCCTGACCCCCAACTCAGGTGGCAGCCGGAGCCTGGGCGGAGGAATAGAACCTTCTGTCGTTCAGCTGAGCTTTATCACCAGTTTCCTGTTGCTCCATAGCAGCTTCACTGGCGATGGGGCAGGGCCTGGCGGAACTTGGGGCACAGATGAGGGAGGCAGTTCCCAGACACCCAGGGGATCAACTGGAGCCCAGACGTGGACCCCGGGAGTGACCACCCCAGACCAGCCTCCCAGCGTACCAGGCTCTCTGAGACAAGAAGCTGTGTTCCCAAGTCACTGGGCCACCCCACCCAGAGCACCCTGAGTTATACAGACTCGGCAGCCAGCCTCGGCCTCGCCTCTATTTCTGGTTCTGTGGGCTCGCCCCGGGCGCTGAGCACCTCCAGGGCCTCCAGGTTGCCGGGTTCCTCTGCAACAACAGGCAGGGGCTCAGAGTCCCCTTCAGCCTCAGCGTCCTCAGTGTCACTGGCTCCGCCCTCAGTGCCTGGGCCTGACGGGGCAGCTTTAGCACAACGCAGGCAGCAGTTGGTGGCGACAGCCATGAAGACCCCAGCCAGGGCCACCTCAGAGCCGGCCAGGTAGAAGATGATCTCATAGTTCTTCAACACATCCACCAGGCGGCCTGGGGAGGAGGAGGAAGAGGAGGGAGAGGTAAGGTCCTGTGGGGTCCTCCCCTCACTCTCCTGCACTCTCAGGTCAAGGGTGGTGCCACTGACTTGGTGAGGCTCCTGGGTGACACACACATGCCCACTCTTTATTCCTGTTTTACAGATGTAAAACCTCATGTGGATTCTGCCATTTGAAACCTTAAAAATGTCACTTGCTGTCCCTGGACCTCAATTGCTTAAGTGATATGTGGCTTCTGGTGAGGCGTCCCCTCCACCCTCTGATTCAAGCCCCACAAGTGTCCTGTGACTTGCTTGGCAGTGGGGTATCTGGGGTGGGAGCGGGGAGGGGGCCCTGGGCTTAGCTCTGCCCTCCTGGGGGCCTCCACCTCTTGCTGTTGCCATGTAAATGCCCTGGTCCTCAGGGGCTTGGCTTAGTCCTCCCACCCCTCTGTCCCAGGAGGCCCATGAGCATCCCAGACCAAGCCATCATCGGCACAGGTGGGGCTTGTGGGCCAGTAACTCATTTCCTTCTCTATTTCTCAAGGCTTCTATCCCTTGTAGATACTACTTTCAAACTCAGGAAAGTCTCTCTTTTATTATGTTTTTTTTAGGGATGGGGTCTTGCTGTGTTGCCCAGGCTGGTCCTGAACTCCTGAGCTCAAGGGATCCTCCCGACTTGGCCTCTCAAAGTGCTGGGATTACAGGTGTGAACCACTGCACCTGGCTTCAGGAATTTTCTTATTCTTTTGAGACAGGGTCTCACTCCATTGGCCCAGGCTGGAATGTAGTGGTGCCATCTTGGCTCACTGCAACCTCCACCTCCTGGGCTCAAGCCATCCTCCCACTTCAGCCTCCTGAGTAGCTGGAACCAGAGGTGCACGCCACCACACCTAGCTAATTTTGTTTTGTTTTGTTTTGGTAGAGACAGGGTTTTGCCATGTTGCCCCGGCTGGTTTCAGACTTCTGGCCTCAGCCCCCCAAAGCGCTGGGATTACATGCATGAGCCACTACACCCGACCAGGAAAATCTCTTAATTGCAAGTATTTCCCCCTAAAGTGTGGTTTGTCTGTGTGCTCCACCCTCTCTCTAGGTCATTCTCCTCACCCCATGCACCTCCTCTGCCCATCAGATCCATCCAGATTCACACAAGAAATGGAAGACGGTTCCTTGAGGCCTGGGCAGGCTGGTTTTGTGGCCTGCCCACACACTGGCTCAGGGACTTTGCCGTTCTCACTGGGTCAGGTGGGATGACAGAGCTCAGTGAGGGCACTCGATTAGCCCAGCCCTGAAGGAAGGACGAGCAGCTCACCCCATCTCAGTGCAGCCTGCGGCCCCCGCAAGGTGTCCTCCCTGGTTACTGCACCATCTCACAGCCCTCTAGCCTCTGGGACTCAAAGGCAGGCTCCCTTGCTGTTTCAAGATAACTTGACAACCCAGGAAAACCCTCATGTCCCCCACTCCCACCTTTCCAATTTTGGTTCCTGCCTTGCTTGCATAAGGACGCTGTTCCCCCCCAACAAGCCCTGCCCATCCATGCTGTGCCTTCACCTGGGGGATATTCCAGGAAGCCTTCCCTGACCACCCTCATGACGATGACTTCCTAAGGGTGACGGTGACAAGTGCCAGCAGGCCATCTGCACAGTGAAAGACACCAGTGCTTCTCCCCATCTGCCCGCTGAGCACCCCCACTCTGTTTCTGGCCCCAACACCAGTTTCCCAAAGATACTGTCCCCATTCCAGTCACCATTCTAGATGCACCATTCTAAAGGCGTGGGCATTTAGCAGCAGGTACACTGAGGCTCTCATTCTGGGGCTGCAACTTGCGCTAAGGCTTTGTGCCTCAGTTTCCTCATCTGCAAAATGAGAATAAGCACCTGCGCTCCAGATGGCCTTGTGCCAACTGCTTGGGATGGCAGATCTGGCCAGCTACCAGTGTTGCTTTCTTCCCTGCACCTTCCTGGGCTTTTCTGTCCTCACCCAGAGCGGGCGGTCCGGCTTGGAGGAGGGACTAACTGGCCGTGAAGGGGAGTCCACCCACCCGACTGCCCCTTCCCCTCATCCCTGGAAGTTCCATCTGAGACAGGGGGATGGAGCTTCCCTGGGTCTAAGGGGCACTAGGCTCGCCACCCCCTCTTCCTTCGGGGCGCACCGGCAGAGGGCGGTCCGATGAGCACAGCCGCGGCCTCCACGAGCAACACCAGGCCCAGCGCACTGGGGAAGCGGGGCGCGCCCACAGCCGCCATGAGCACCTCGAACTGCAGCGCGCCCACCATGCCGTAGGAGAGGCCGAAGGCGACGCAGAAGGCGACGAGGGCGCCGTAGGAGCGCGCGCGTGCGCTGCTCAGGTCTGTGAGCCCATTGGCCAGCAGGGCCAGGCTGAACAGATACGGGACGTGCGGCCGCAGACGCGCCAGGCCCGCCAGGGCGCCGCACGCCGGGCGCGCCACGATGTCCACGAAGCCCACGATGGACAGCAGGAAGGCGGCGTCGGTGTCGGGCACGCCCGCGTCCTTGGCGTAGTTCACCAGCAGGATGGCGGGGACGAAGAGCCCGAGCGCCATCAGGAACTTGGTGACGGCGTACACGGCGAAGGCGCGGTCGGTGCACACTGCCAAGTCCAGCAGGCGCCGGCGGGGCCGGACCCTGGGGGATGCCTCGCGCAGCTGCAGCCCCGCACCGTCAGCCTCCGCCTCGCCCGGAGCGTCCCCGGCGCGGTCGCCGGCGCTGTCCCTGCGCGGTCGCGGGCCCGGCCCGGGCGGCGGCCTCATGACAGCCCCGCAGGCGCAGCAGTGCAGCAGGAGCCCGCCGAGCAGCAGGAAGCCGCCGCGCCAGCCGAAGCGCTCCAGCAGCTGCTGGCCGAGCGGCGACAGCGCGGACAGGAACACGGGGCTGCCCGCCGCCGCCAGCCCGTTGGCCAGAGGCCGCCGCCGCTCGAAGTACAGCCCCAGCATGATGAGCGACGGCTGGAAGTTGAGGGCCAGGCCCAGGCCTGCGGGCGAGGCGGTGCTGTGCCGGGGTCCCCGGAGAGCCCCTCCCTGGCCCCCACAGGAGGGAGGGGCCAGGCCCGGGAACCCAGCAGATCCGGGAACCCAGCCGAGGGACTTCGAAGACTGTCCCTCATAGGGAAACCGAGGACAGATCTTGCAGCAAGAACCCCCGACCCCCAACCCAGCGGAGAGGAGACCAGGGGGCCCTCACCTGTGAGCACCCCAGCGGTCAGGTAGAGCTCCAGGAGGCGCGTGGCAAAGGAAGCTAGGATCATGCCCGCGGAAGCCAGCAGCCCACCCGCCAGCATCACCGGGCGACAGCCAAAGCGGGTCACGAGGATGCTGGACACGGGGCCTGTGGGCAGGGCAGGGTCACCACCCGGGTCCCGGGATGGCTTGAGTCCTCTAAGGAATAAGGTCACCTCCGGCTCAGGGACACAGAGAGGAGGGCAGTGTCTGGCCAAGGTCACACAGCTTGGAGGGGACAGGCCAAAGAGACAGCATCCTGCGAGGGCAAGGCCCAGAGCACCCCATCCTGCGAACCCAAACCCCAAGCGGAGCGGGGGCTTCCGCACCCCTTTAACCTTCACAGCCTCCAAGTCCCGCCCTGGCACAGACTGGGATTCCTCCGCAGCCCCGCCTCCCAGGATGGGAACTCCAGCAAGCCCCCACCTACAGGTCAGGGCTGCGGGGAGGGGGAGTGCTTCTGTGGCTCTCAGCTTTCCTGCCTCTACAATGGGCGGGTGTGGTCTTAGAAGGGGCCCTCTGAGCTCGCAGGGCAGCCCCCTGGGCCGGCCCCGCCTCTGGCCGCTGTCTCCCTCCCGCCCTCTCTTCCCCTCTTTCTGGTGCCAGGGTTCCCACAGGCAGGAAGGGACTTCGGGGGCCACCCCGAGGGTCAGGGGGATGCTCAGGGGCTCGGGTGTCTCCTGGTTCCGGATCCCAGGGGTCCCGGGGAGGCGGAGGGCCGGGCGGGGACACTGACCCGTGCCGTAGAGCATGGCTAGCATGATGGAGGACACCCAGGCCGTGTCGCTGTAGCCGGCGTCGAAGTCGCGCATGAGCGCGCGGAAGAAGACGCTCACGGCTTTGGGGAAGCCGTAGGCGAAGCCGGTGACCACAAAGCAGGCGCCCAGCACCACCCAGCCCCAGCCGCCGTCTGGGGGGCCCTCGCCCCGCCGGGGGCCGCCAGCGCCCATCGCTGCCTCTGTTGGGAGGGGGCGGGGACAAGAGGGAGGGGCTGGGCCAGCAGCCTAGAGAAGGAGGGGGATGGAGACGAAGCATGGGGAAACTGAGGCACAGGGCTACCCACGTGAGGGTGGCTCAGGTCTGGGAACCAAAAGGGGAAACGGAGGTAGGACTCTCACCCCAAGTCTCCTTCTCCTGCAAAGGGCGCTGAAGGACGAGGGGAGGACGACGGGTCCCACCTGACTCTGCACCTCTGCAGGCTCCCTCTGAAGGACAACTGCTGGCCCCTCAGGGCCTCAGGTGGAAGGCGTCGGGAAGTGGAGCAGGTATGTGCCTGGAGGTGGGCGTCCAGCACCAAAGTCGCCCCGTACGCGTGAGGGTCTCGGGACAACAGAACAAACAGCAGAGGGGCAGATGCCGGCTGCAAAGGGCCGCTGTGCGTGATTTTCCTCTTTAGCCTTCCGCCATGTTCCTAATGTTTCTCAGTGATCACAAATGACTATTGTCATTAGAACATTAAGGGGACAAAAGCCACTTTCAACAGATATCAGCCAGGGGAGCTGAGTTCCCATGCATCTCAGCTCAGCCATGGATTCCCTCCCTGACTTGGGCCGGTCGCCTCCCCTCTCCCAACCTCCCTTTCCTCCGATGTAAGATGGGTGATTGATCACCCCGAGGCCAGCTGGGAATCTTGCGGGAGAGGAGTCAGGTCTCTGGCTTCTGCCAGACAGGTAGGAACCTTAGCAGCACTGAGAGAGTGGCCTTCTGCCCTCCAAACCTCAAACCCTCTATATGAAAAGAATGGCTCCAAAGCCTGTCTCATTCCTGGGGCTCCACCCGGGGCCCTCACAGCAGTTACAAGCGCCCCCATAACAGATGAGGAGGGTGTACTCAGAGACAGGTGCACCAGGAGCCGGGGGCTGGGGATAGCCTCCTGCCCTCCTGCCTGGAGTGTCCCTCCTGGCACTGGGCAGTGCCACCACCCCCAGGGTATCCGGGACTCTGCCCCTCCTCCACTAGGACCAGGTTGTGGCTTTTCCTGCCTGTTGTCCTCTTGTCACAGGGGCAGCCACTTGAAGGTGGAGACAGGAGGGTGATCCCAGGCAGCCCTCACATCACACTCACCTGAGCCTGCCTCGTGGGTTTGGGGGTCCAGCCTCACATCTCCTGAGGCCTGCAGGGAGGGGCCGCCGCCGCAGCTCCCGGTGAAGCTTACCCGGATGGGGGCTGCCAGACACCCCAGCTTCCCACCAGCCTGGGCTGAGCCTCTGGCCGACTCCCGCCTGACGCTCCCTGCCCCAGGCCTGGAGCTTAGAGTGTGTGCCCCCACCACACCTCACCCCTGCTAAGAGGCTTTTGTCCAGGAGGGGAGAAGAGACTGGGAGCCCCAGGCCAGGCTGGGCCTCGGCGGTGGGCTCCCTGTCCCAAGCCAGTCCAGGAGGGAGGAAGAGAATCCCTGTGCCTCCTGGAGCCTGGGGTGGTAGACACAGAGACCTTGCCCAGGGGGTCCTAGTCTGGTGCTGGGGGCACAGCCCTGCCCTGAAGAGACCCCAACGGTTCTAATCACCTCAGTGCCTCATCTGCCCCCGCCCCAACCCCCCGCCCCAGGCCACATTCCAGGAGGGGCTGGCAGCTTTCTCTAGAATGAAGCTAATCCACGCCTGTGCCTGGGAATGTGGGGGGGGGAGGGGCCAAAACAAAGGGTGCTGTGTCCAGGCCGCCTGAGGGCAGCTTGCTGGTGGTCCCAGCCCTTGGCCACTGCCACCTCTCCCCTGACCCGAGCAGCCGCTACTTCCTAGGAAACCCACAGGTCGAAATGAGAGCAGGTGGAGATGGGGGCTGCAGCGCGAGGGCTTTGGGGCAGCCCTAAAGAGTTCTCCAAACAAACAAACAAGGGGCTGGGAGTGAGATGGCTTCCCGGGGAACAGCCAGGACCTCAGTACCCCCTAGACCCCATTCTCCAATGGGGGAGTCTCTATCCCTCACCCCCTGCCCTGTCCCCCAAATAAGACACCACCAGTCCTGCTGCCGCATCACTTTGCGTCCACTTCCTTTATTTCTCATCATTTACAAAAGATGTACAGAGAGGGCATGTGTTGGGCACGGAGCAGGTACAAGGGGCTCCTCCCCACGGGGGCAGAAAAGGGGGAAAGAGGTTAGGGGGCAAGAGGTGGGCCCCCCAGGGAGAGTCCTGGAGCCCCTGGAGGGGGAGAAATTGTCCTGTCCCCCCATTCCGCCTGCTTTACTTTGAAGGTCTCGGACCCCAAGCCAGTGCTTTGGAGCTGCTCAGGCTGCCGGGGTGGTCTGGGGAGGGCAGCCACCCCCCGTCTCAGGGACCCGCTTCTTGGATCTGCTGCTGTTGCTGCTGTCGCTGCCATTGCCAGCTCTGAACAGCCCCTGGGCAGGTGCACTGTGGGGTACGACCTCGGACCCCGCCTCAGCGGATGAGGGGTGCTGAGCGGTCATTGGTGATGGTGGGACGAAGCTTGACAGTGGCAAAAGGATTTGTGCCCCTGTAGGAGGAGAGAGAGAATGGGGTGAGAAGGGCAGATGATCCCCACCTGGCCATGGCTCAGGAAGGCAGCTGGGCAACTGAGCTGGGTCCTGCCTCCTGCCCCTATTTGGTCTCCATCCACTCCTTGCCCCGCTTCATCTTTTTTTTTCTTTTAAGAGATAGGGTCTCACAGTGTTGCTCAAGCTGATGTTGAACTGTTGGAATCAAGAGATCCTCCTGCCCCAGTCTCCCTAGTAGCTGGGACTACAAGTGTGTGCCGCCGCACCTGCCACCCTCCTCACTGTTTGGGCCCCCATGTGAGGACTCACCTCGGGAAGAGCTCCTGTGGTGGGTACTGCTCTGAGGACATCAGTTTCTGCAGTGGGGGTGGGGAAGGGCTGGTTTGGTGGGGAGAGGGGCAAGCAATCCCTTGCTCCTCCCCTCCCTCTCCCCATGCCCAAGGGCAGAGGACTGGGCCAGAGAGCCCCTGCCATGCCAGGCTCCTGGAAAATGAGACCCTGACGTTCTGAAGCCCAGAATTCTGTGGGTTGCAGAAGTGAGAAACCCCTAGGCCAGAGCACCACCTCCAAGGACTAACCACGCCCCCAGGATAAGACCGGGGTGGCTCCATCGGAGATGCCCTCCCTGGCCTCCCCCAGCCCCGTCCTACTGGCTAGCCCCAGGCCACACCCTGTCCTGGGACCCTGGTCTTCCCCTTCAGCCCAGACTCAGCCCCACACCACCCCTCCCTGCACTGAGGAACAGACTGAGTGAGGCCAGGTAGGCGGGTCCCCTGCCAGACAGCCGGTGACAGAGCCTCGGGATCCCTGCTCTCCTGCCTCCCTGCCCGCTGGAGGCCCCAAGAGAGGGCGGGCAAGGGCTCACCTTGACGTCAGTGGCAACTGCTGTGCTGCCCATGCTGCTGCGGCGGCTGCTGGGCAAGGGTGGAGGTGCAGGGCTGGGGGCACGGCTTGGCACCCGGCTTGGGGTGCGGGAGCGGGACTGGCCATCCCAGTACTCCGAGGGTGCTATGGAGTTGCCCGGCCGGTCCAGGAGGTCATCGAGGCTGTGGCTGCCCCGGAGTGGGTAGGACCTAAGTCCAGAGAAAGGAGGGGGAAGGAAAGGGGTTGGGGCCTGTCCAATCCCTTGTCCTGCCAGTAGCTGGGGCACCTTAGGCAGGAGGCATCCGACAGCTTCCTCCCCGCACCTGCATGAAAGGAGACTGTTGACCGGAGGGAGGTCCTGAGAGGAGGCAGAGGGATGGACGCAGTGACCTTCAGGGCAGAGAGAGGGGCTCAGGGCCGGTGGTTCTCCAGGGGCTGAAGGGGGCTGGGCCCACTCAAGACTGCACCTTGCCACCTGGGTGCAGTGACTCACGCCTGTAATCCCAGCACTTTGGGAGACCGAGGTGGGTGGATCACCTGAGGTCAGGAGTTCAAGACCAGCCTGGCCAACATAGTGAAACCCTGTCTCTACTAAAAATACAAAAAGTAGCCAGGTGTGGTGGTGTGTGCCTGTAATCCCAGCTACTCAGGAGGCTCAGGCAGGAGAATCGCTTGAATGCAGGAGGCAGAGGTTGCAGTGAGCCAAGATGGCGCCACTGCACTCCAGCCTGGGTGACAGGGTGAGACTCTGTCTCAAAAAAAAAAAAACAAAACAAAACAAAAAAACAAAAAAACAAGCCTGCACCTTGCAGATCCTCTCCGCTGGGCAGTGACACCCTTGCCGGCGTCCTCACCCCCGCCCCACCCCTGATGACTCAGGTACCTGGAAGGCAGCTCGTTCCCGGGGTTCATGGGTGTCATGGGGGACATGGAGGTCATGGAGGTCATGGGGGTCACGGGGGTCATGGGATTCACGGGCCCCTCCTCCAGAGCCTTCACGTACGCCTCGGGGAACCAACCGCTCCTGTGGGGTAGAGGCAGAGGACAATGACCAAAAGAAGCCAGGCCTGGGGACAATGACCAAAAGAAGACATCCTCCCCTCAGGGTCACTGGAAGCTACTTCACCTCGAATTGACAGACTACAATCAATTCCGTATGTTTACTTCTGTTTTCACCTGCAAGTGCCTACTGATAATAACACACGCTATCCTTTTCCCTAACAGGCTATGTGAGTCAAGGATGGAACGATGGTCCCAGAACATCCCAGGAGGGTGTGACAGCCTCCATCTAGAAGGTTCTATCCTCAGGTCCCCAAGGCATCTGCAGCACACCGTCCTCTGCTGTGGGTCTGTGAAGCAGCCACTCCAGCAGCAGGTGTCCCTATCGTTGGCGTTCTCAGTCATCTCTCTCCCCACTGACCCCCTTCCGTTCCTGTCCCTGTGGTCACCCGCCCAGCTATGGACCTTCGCGCCTAACTATGAGTCCCTCCATACATCACCTATCCCCCACTCACCTGTCTATACTCCATCCCCCGTGTAGCCACGAATCCATCCAGCACCCCCTCACCACTCACACCTCTCCAATCACCCATCAGTGTCTGTCCACCACATCTGCGCATCCTCCCATGTCCCTAACCACCCAGTCAGTGACCCCCCCCCCGCCATTTAAGGCCATCCACTTGCACACACAGACCTCCACCTACCCAGACGCACATCCCCTGGTCCACCCATTCGCCTGTCCACCATCCATTAAGCACAGGACCACTCATCCATCCGTGGGCTGGTGTGGGCAGCCACCACCCGCTCTGCCCATGCACGCATTCATCCTGCGCTGCTTCTCTCCTGCAGCAGGAGTGGGCACCGTACACTACCCTGCCCATGAAGCCCCGAGGGGGCACTGCCTGGCTCCAGCCAGCCCCATCTGCCCCGTTTTCCCCTGCAGGACAGTGGTGCCTGTCCATTCCCTCTGCTAGCTGCCAGCCCTGCTGTCCTCCGCACTTTCTGGCAACCTCACTGTATGAAACTCCCCAAATCCTCCTCCACGTCAAGTGTCAAAACAGCCCAGTTTAAGTGCTTTCAGGATTTCCACGGAGCCTGACCGCAAAGAGGTGAGCACATTTAAGCCCCTACTCCCAGCCCAGCCCCCTGCATCAGAGTTCCAGGGCTGACTCTGCAGAGGGGAAGCAGCCTCCTCCCAGAGGCAGGCACACAGTAGGTGCTCAAGCAATAGGATTTCTGCCATTTCCACACTTTTGGAAGAACCTGCCCATCCCCCATCCTCTGCCCGCTCTCAAGGACCGTCATCCTGAACTTGGTAAGGCGGCTCTTCCTACTCCCACTGAATGAATGAGGAAACTGAGGCAGGGTGCGGGGGTCGGGAGGAGAGGAGCATTGTCCGAGGCCCCCGGGGGAGGCCAGGGAAACCTCAGTCCGGCAGGTCCCCGGGTTCCCGGCCCCCAGGGCCTTCTTCTCAACCCACCCCCGGCCCCTCCAAGGCTCCCACTCACGCGGACGAGCCCTCCAGCTTGCCGTAGAGCCAGCCGTTCTGGGCCTCGGGCACCAACACCTCCACCACGTCCCCAGCGGAGAAGCGCAGCAGCGTGTGGTTGGCGCCCTCCGAGTGGGAGACCAGGGCGCGGACTCTCCTGGCGCCCCCGCCGCCGCCCGGGCGCTCGCCAAAGGAGTTGGAGCGCGAGCTTTGGGCGCTGCCGCTGTAGAGCGAGGCTGTGGGCGGGAGAGCGCGGCGGCACGTGGGCAGGAAGTTCTTCCTGGCGTCTGCCCTCGATCCCTCCTGCTGCAGCCCCACCCCCGCGCCTCTCCCGGCCCTCCTGCCGCCCCGGGGCGGGGGCACTCACAGGCCGACGGCGTGCGGGGCAGGGAGCGACGGTCTGGCTCTAGCTGGGACGCGGGCCTCGCGTCGGGCTCGGTGCCGTAGGAGCCGGAGCCGTGCCGGCTGCGGGGGGAGCTGAACTCTCCCAGGGGCCTCGGGGGCTGCGGGGGAGATGGGCAGGGGAGGGTGGGGCGGGGGGGGGGGGGGGCGGGGCCGCGCCCTAGTCCAGCCCCCACCCCCAGTCCCAGGCGTCGGCGTAGGGGTTCTGGGGGCGGAGACCGGGCCACCACGGGGGCGCGGAGAACGCGCCGGGGCGGAAGGGCAGGCCGGGGGATGCAGCGTAGAGCGGGAGCCTGGGGGGCAGGAGGCTCCAGGCTGGGGGCCTGAGGCCCCGGGCCCCCGCGGGGGGCGGCGGGGGCGCGAACGGCGGCGGGGGCGCCCAGGGCCTCACCATGTCCAGGCAGGTGGGCGTCAGGCGGCCCGAGGGGTAGGGCGGCCCCAGCGCGGGGCCCAGCAGGCCGGGGGAGTGGGCGCGCGACGGGCTGCGGCTGGCCTCAGACTGCTCCTTCCACAGCAGCACGCGGTTCTGGAGCATCCCCCGGGCCTGGCCGGGCGGGGACACGGGGGTCAGCCAGGTCCGGGCGGCTCCCTGAATCCTGGGGACCCAAAATGACACCCTCGACCTGAGAGCTCAGGCCCTACCAGCTCGGGACGACCGGATTTTCTAGCTGGAAGGAGCCAGAAGCCAGCTCACCGTCCAACCCGCACCCTCTACTTTTGGCAAAGGCACCTCCATTTTCCACGAAGAGCTTCCTCTGACCCCCCGCTTCCCGCGTCAATGTGTGTGCTTTGAGCGGGGCTGTCCTCACCGCCCAGCTTCAGGGGTAGGGGTGGCACCCAGGCCTGGCCACTCAATCACCCCATCCTCCTTCCTGCAGCGATAGGCTCAGGAATGGCGCTTAGATAGAAACTACGACCAAAGAACCCAGTCCCATTACTTACTTACCCAGTAACACTATGGAAAATGCATTTTTTTTTTTTTTTTTTTTTTTTTTTTTTAGACGGAGTCTGGCTCTGTCGCCCAGGCTGGAGTGCAATGGCGCGATCTCGGCTCACTGCAAGCTCCGCCTCCCGGGTTCATGCCATTCTCCTTCCTCAGCCTCCCGAGTAGCTGGGATTACAGGCGCCTGCCACCATGCCCAGCTAATTTTTGTATTTTTAGTAGAGACGGGGTTTCACCATGTTGGCCAGGCTGGTCTCAAACTCCTGACCTCAGGTGATCTGCCTGCCCTCGGACTCCCAAAGTGCTGGGATTACAGGCGTGAGCCACCGAGCCTGGCCTAAAACTTCTTTCAATGGCACTGACCTTTCTGTGTTGTCACTCAGTCATAATAAAATCCCAGGTACAATCAGAATGCTGCATTCTCCAGCCATAAAGATCGCTCCCTCTTTTCAAACATCCCTGTCCCTCAAGGCCTAGCTCAAGACGGTCACCTTAAGAAAAGCTCCCTTTGTCGAGCAGTGACTCCATACCAGGCCCTGCTTTAAACGCTTTATCTGCATTATCTTACTTGATTCTCGCAATAGCCCTGGGTGGTAGGTGCAATTATTATCTCCAGTTTATAAAAGAAGATACTGAGGGTCAGAGAAGTTAAGTGACTGGCTCAAGGTGTCACATTCAGTAAGCGTTGAAGGGGTCTGTGTTGGTCTGTCCTTGAAGATGCCCCCTACGACTACACTTTCAATGATTTCTGCCTTGAACCTGGCCCCATGACTAAAAACCTCACGTCAAACTCAGGCAGCAATAACGGGAAGGCTTGGTGCCTCCCATCACTGGAGCAACTAGTCTAGCTGGTCACTAAGTGGACAGCCCCTCTGTTTCCCTGCAGTAACTAATTAGCAGAATAGCACAAAGATAAAACCCGAAGGCCTTTGTGCAGAAGTTTCAGAGACATAAGCAAAGTGAGAGCATTAGGTTCTGCATATCTTTCTTGTTGTTGTTGTTGAGACAGAGTCTCGCTCTGTTGCCCAGGCTGGAGTGCAGTGGCACGATCTTGGCTCACTGCAACCTCCGCCTCCCGGCTTCAAGTGATTATTCTGCCTCAGCTTCCCAAGTAACTGGGACTACAGGCGTGCGCCACCACTCCTGGCTAATTTTTGTATTTTTAGTAGAGACAGGGTTTCACCATATAGGCCAGGCTGGTCTCAAAGTCCTCAACTCGTGATCCACCCGCCTTAGCCTCACAAAGTGCTGGGATTACAGGTGTGAGCCACTGCACCCAGTCACATGTCGTATTTTAAAAGGGATTTAAAAGTATCATTGGATTGTTTGTAACACGAAGGATAAATGCTTGAGGGGATGGATACCCATTCTCCAGCATGTCATGATTACACATTGCATGCCTGTATCAAAACACCTCATGTACCCCATAAATATATACACCTACTATGTACCACAAAAATTAAAATAAATGGTGGGTGAGAAGAAACACTGCATACGGTTTCAAAACCATCAGAGAGGCCATGGGAAAAATTTTAAAAATATATTTACGAAGTGAAACAGCCATTCTAAGTATGACACCAAACCCATAAACTTGAAAAGACCGATACATTTTACTAAATAAAAATAATGTTTTTGTATAGCAAAACCAATCATAACACAGGCAAATGATAATGGCAAACTGGCTATTGTATTTGCAACTCATCACCAAGAAAAAGCTGGTTTCAGTAACATATCAAGAGCTCCTACAAATTAATAAGTGGATGAAAAGATACTGGCATGTCACAGCACAGAAAATCCAATGGCTTTGAAACATGAAAAGATGTCAAGCTCGCGTTTAAGACAAGTATGAGGTAAAGCCACACCGAGATACCATTTTTACCTTTCTAATTAGCCAAGATCAGAAAGTTTGCTCATACACTGTTGTCAAGGGGTGCAGAAGCACAGAAACTCATACATCACTGATGGAAGTGTAAACTGGTGCAACCAATGACTATATTCTTGGGCTTACCAATTCCACTTCTAGGAATTTATCCTGGAGATACATTTGCACAGCTGCAGTAAACGAGAGAAGCTAAGGATGAGGTGGGAAGGCACGTTACTGACTAGACTTGGACTAAGCAAAGACTAATTAGCGAAGATGAATAAGAAAGACAATTTACCGTGCCCGGGCACCTAGAGTTCTTTAAATCTTATTCTAAGGCTGCCTTCTTTTTTTGAGAGAGAGAGCGAGCCTTGCTCTGTTGCCCAGGCTGGAGTGCAGTGGCGCAATCTCGGCTCACTGCAACCTCTGCCTCCCGGGTTCAAGCCATCCTCGTGCCTCAGCCTCCCGAGTAGCTGTGATTACAGTCATCCGCCACCATTCCTGACTAATTTTTGTATTTTTAGTAGAGACGGGGTTTCACCATGTTGGCCAGGCTGGTCTTGAACTCCTGATCTCAGGTGATCCACCCACCTCGACCTCCCAAAGTGCTGGGATTACAGACATGAGCCACCACGCCCACCCCAAATGTGCCTTCTACTTATAAATAGAACAAGAAGTAAATATATATGCTTAGCTATCTTAGGAGTTAGATCTTGGATGTTTTAAAGTCCAGCTGGGTCAGACAACATGTTACTTGCTCCCTATGTGATATGGTTTGGATATTTGTCCTCTCTAAATTTCATCTTGAAATCTGACCCCCCAGTGTTGGAGGTGGGATCTAGTGGGAGGTGATGGGGGCAGCTCCCTCATAAATGGCTTGGTGCTGTACCCCACGGTAATGAGTGGTATGAGTTCATGCAAGATCTCCTTGTTTAAAAGATTGCAGTGGCCGGGCGCGGTGGCTCACACCTTAATTCCAGCACTTTGGGAGGCCGAGGTGGGTGGGTGGATCACCTGAGGTCAGGAGTTCAAGACCAGCCTGGCCAACATGGTGAAACCCCGTCTCTACTAAAAATACAAAAATTAACGGGCATGGTGGTGCATGCCTGTAATCCCAGCTACTCAGGAGGCTGAGGCAGGAGAATCGCTTGAACCCAGGAGGTGGAGGTTGCAGTGAGCTGAGATCATGCCACTGCACTCCAGCCTGAGCAACAAGAGCAGAACTCCATCTTAAAATAAAAAGAAAAAAGAAAGAGTGTGGCACCCCACCGGCTCCCTCTCTGGCCATGTGATATGAACTTCCCCTTTGCCTTCTGCCATGATTGTAAGCTTCTAGAGGCTTCGCCAGGAGCAGATGCGGGCAATGCACTTCTTGTACAGCCTGCAGAACTGAGAGCCAAATAAACATCTTTTAAAATAAATTACCCAGCCTCAGGTATTCCTTTATAGCAATGCACAACGGACTAACACACCATGCATAGGGGAAAATCTGCCTGTTCAACCCACAGCTCCCTCCTGAGGGACCCTCACCCACGAGGAGGCAGTCAAGGAGGGGGTCAGCTCTTCTCTTAATGTTGATGGTTAACTATTTACAGGCAAAAAGGAGTTTAACACAGGTGAAAAAGAGTTTCCTTCCAAAGAAGATCTATAAATAGCTAAGAAGCACAGGAAAACATGTTTAACATCACTAGCCATCTGGGAACCGGAAATCAATATTGCAATCAGATATCGCTTCACACCTGCTAGGATGGCTATTATCAAAAAGACAGTAACAAATAGTAGCGAGGACGTGAAACAACTGGAACCCTCATAAACTGCTGATGGACACGGAAACACTCCGGAAAACGGTCTGGAAGTTCCACAAACAGTTAAACATAGAGTTACCATATGGCCCCACAATTCTACTCTTATATACCCAAGAGAGATGAAAACATATGTCCACATGAAGACTCGTACATGGATGCTCAGCGCAGCAGTGGTCATGACAGCCAAAGAGTGGAAACAACCAGGCGTCCATCAGCTAACATCTGAGTAAATACATCGAGTAAACGAGTAAATACAATGTGGTGTATCCAAGCAATGGAATATTATCCAGCAGTGAAAAGGAAGCCAGTCGCAAAAGAGCACACACATTGTATGATTCTGTTTATATGAAATGTCCAGAATGGGCAAATGTATTGAGACAGAAAGTAGATTCCTGGTGGCCTGGGGCTGGGGGAGTGGGAGGATTGGGAATGACAGCTAAGGGGTACCGGTTTGTATTTTTTTTTTGAGACGGAATTTCGCTCTTGTCCAGGCCGGAGTGCAGTGGTGCAATCTTGGCTCACTGCAACCTCCACCTCCTGGGTTCAAGCAGTTCTCCTGTCTCAGCCTCCTGTGTAGCTGGGATTACAGGCATGTACAACCACGCTTGGCTAACTTTTGTATTTTTAGTAGAGACGGGTTTTCACCATGTTGGCCAGGGTGGCCTCGAACTCCTGTCCTCAGGTGATCCACCCGCCTCGGCCTCCCACAGTGCTGGGATTACAGGTGTGAGCCACCGCGCCTGGCCGAGGTACTGGGTTACTGTGGTGGAGGGTATTGAAAATATTTTAAGCTTGATAGTGGTGATGGATGCATGACTCTGTGAATATACTACAAACCAGAAAGTGTACACTGTAAATGGGTGAATCGTATGTGAATTATATCTCAATAAAACTGTTTTTCAAAAAAGGAAGTTGTTTCTCCCTGGCAGACCTTTTGTGGGATAGCAGGGGACGAGAAGGCTGAGCCTGGGGCCGGGTGAGGCGGTGACAGTGGGCAGATGAGAGCCTGAGCCGAAATCTGGGTCTTTGGATCCAGTCATGTATCCCTGGGCCCGTGGGTTCAGATCCAGAGACTCGGGGAGGGCGTGGGAGGCGTGGGAGGCGTGGGAGGGATAAGAACCCCAAGCCAGGACCGGGCGTGGTGGCTCATGCCTGTAATGCCAGCACTTTGGGAGGCCGAGGCAGGTGGATCACCTGAGGTCAGGAGTTCGAGACCACCCTGGCCAACATGGTGAAACCCTGTCTCTACTAAAAATACAAAAATTAGCTGGGCATGGTGGCGCACACCTGTAATCCCAGCACTTGGGAGGCTGAGGCAGGAGAATCACTTGAACCTGGGAGGTGGAGGTTGCAGGGAGCTGAGATTGCGCCACTGCACTCCAGCCTGGGCAACAGAGCAAGACTCCGTCTCAAAATAAATAAATACATACACACATAAATAAAATCAGTTTATCAAAATACAAGGGTCATGCTGCAGAGATGACTAGTGAGGTCTGAAACTAAGTCCTAAACTATCTTGGCAAAACCAGGAAGTGGAGGATGGGAAGGATGAAGACAGGAGTAAAAGCTTTCCAAAGGCCCCACCTCAGAATAGTTGGAGGGCAGGAAAATACTTCTTAAGGTATTATCTCATCTTTTTTTTTGAGACTTAGTCTCACTCTGTCGCCCAGACTGGAGTGCAGTGGCTTGATTTTGGCTCACTACAACTTCTGCCTCCCAGGTTCAAGCAATGCTCCTGCCTCAGCCTCCTGAGTAGCTGGGATTACAAGTGCCTGCCACCACGCCCAGCTAATTTTTGTATTTTTAGTAGAAACGGGGTTTCGCCATGTTGGCCAGGCTGGTCTCGAACTCCTGACCTCAAGCGATCCACCCACCTCGCGCTCCCAAAGTGTTGGGGTTACTGGTGTGAGCCACCGCGCCCAGCCTAATTTTTGTGGAAAGCTTTAAATCAAGGTCTCATCTTATGAATTGGCGGAGCGATGGACTGAACAGTGTGTGTCTGTAGTAGGGTGAAGTTGGCATTTTTGGAAAATAGGTGGATATATATGTGATTATGAAAGTCACAAAGTGAGGTCACCACAGGTAGAGAGAAAAAAATAGTGCAATTTCTAAATTAATAAAGGGAAAAGGGGAATGTATAGTATAATAACTCAACCAAACTGACAAGAAATAGTGTGGGAGAAAAAGAGGAAATGACAAAGTAAATACAGTTAGCTCAAGTTATCTAAAAGGAATAAAACCCAGGTATCTTCATTATTATGTTAAATGGGAATGGGCTGAATTCCTTTTCTATTAGAAGACACAGACTGTAAGACTGGTCAAAAACTCAAAAGTCAGTAACAGAAAGTATACTTAACATACAAAGAGATAAGCAAAGAGAAGAGAAAATAGAGCAGTATTAATATCAGACAAGGCGGAATTAAAAGCATCAAACTTAAGAGAGACATTAAGTACATAAATGGCAATATTTACAAAGAAGGTAGAATAGTTATAGCCAAAAAACGCCAAACAACATGGCAGCTCAATTCAGAAAGTGAAATCTATTAGAAATCCAATGAGAGATGAGAGAGTCTGACTAGTCTAGCAGACAGAACAATGCAAGAGCATAGAGGATTTAAATAATATGATAAAATGGCTGGGTATGGTAGCTCATGCCTGTAATCGCAGCACTTTGGGAGGCCGAAGCAGGCAGATCGCTTGAGGTCAGGAGTTTGAGATCAGCCTGGCCAACATGGCGAAACCCCGTCTCTACTAAAAATACAAAAATTAGCCGGGCGTGATAGCACATGCCTGTAGTCCCAGCTACTCGGGAGGCTGAGGCAGGAGAATCGCTTGAACCCGGGAGGGAGAGGTTGCAGTGAGCCGAGATTGTGCCGTTGCACTCCAGCCTGGGCAACAAGAGTGAAACTCTGTCTCAAAAAATAAATAAATAAATAATATGATAAAATTAATAGACGATAACTGAGCACACCTATCAATGAATTTGTGAATTGTGAGAATATACAAACAGGAATTAAAAAATGGTCCACACATGAATAAATAAATGCATGAATTCGTGAATGCATTAAAAACAAACAATATCACGAGTGAATAAATGAGTGAATATACAGTGATACAAGCAAACCCAGAAACAAAGGAAGAAATGGATGGAGATAGCAAAATAAAATGAATTTCTACAGACAGGCAGGCAGGGAGGGAAGAGGGAAGAAGGGAGGGAAACCTCTATGTACGGCCACTCAGGAGGGGGCAGCTCCTAGAAGCGCCCCGCTTGCTGCCCCCCAGTCCAACTCACCCGGCCGAAGAACTGCAGGAAGGTGTTGGAAAGTAGCAGGTGCTTCTCTGCTAGGAAGCGATAGCGCCGCTTCTCTTCCAATTCAGCCGCCCGCTGACTCTCAGACACGAAGGCCTGCATCTGTGCGTGCAGCCGGTTCACACTCTCCTGGGGGGGAACGGGAGTTCTGGCTGGGGGCGGTGGGTGTGTCTCATCCCACCCCCCTCGCCCACAGGCGCCAGCTGTTCAAGCCCCCTGTTCTTCCTGACTGCCCTCTCCCCAAGCCCACCCCCCATCACCCGGCCCATCCTAGCTCCTGAGCCTGCCCCATCATCAGCAGCCTTGTTATGAGTCTGGGCCCTGCGTCTCCCTCTCCCAGGTGCTTCTCACAAGCAGGGCTGCTGTCTGAGCCTTCGCTCTGTCCCTGGCACCCAGCACAAGCCCAAGCACGGGCTGGGGGGGCAGGGGGACGGGTTTAATGAGAATATGAATGAGTAGGTTAATAGCCCCTACTTGGGGGGAAGATTCTGAGGAGGGGAGGCGTGAGCTCACTTAAAGGAGCCAGAAGAGACGGGAAGGGAGGCAGAGGGTTAATCCATGGGTTTGGATCTTGGAGACAGAGGCCAGGGATGGGGCCCCAGGCTCAGGAAGGGGAATGGCCCTAGCCGGGGGCGGGATACCTCTGCCAGGCAGGAGAGAGGGGAGGAGGATGGGCGGCTGGTGGATGACACCTTTGGCACCATGTTCAAGCGAGCAATTTTCTCGGTGAAGTAGGAGATGGGGGAGGTGGGATGGGTTTGCAGGAGAGGCCCGGGGATTCTGGGTAAGGCCAGTAAGCCACAGGGCAAGGGGCGGTGCTGGGCGTGGCCCTAGGAGCTAGTTACGCCCACCCCACCAGGGGCTGGCTGACCTCCCCAGCCACGCTCATCACAGTTGGGCTGGTGCTCGGTGGGGGAGCTCAGGGAGGCGTTCGGGGTTCCCAGGGCCCGGTCTCGCCCCGAGGTCTGCCCACCCGCCCTTCCTGGCCCACCCCCGCTTCCCGGCCCTCGCACCTTCATCTCCCGCACGTTCTTGTCTCTCTTGCGCTCCATGCGCCACAGCTCAGACATGCACTTCTCCAGGTTGGCCGCTCGGTGGCGGTACTCGAGCTCATAGTGCTGGCGGCTGTCCTGGGGTAGGGTGGAGTCGGGGAGGGAGAATCCCCCCACATCAGAGAGCTCAAGACACCCCTCCCAGAGATCAGGGCCCTGGAAGTTTGGAGACTTGGGGCTCAGCTGGGAACATGGATAATCTGGGGCCCAGTCAGTGCTCAGCACTGGCCTGTGTGTGCCTACCTGTCAAATGGGAGAGGGGGTCCTGCCTGCAGTGAGTTGGGGGCCGAGTGGGGAGGCCAGACTCACTTTGATGAACTGCATGTCCAGCTTGGTGTTCTTCTCCATGTGCTGCAGCAGGCCTCCATGGAATGTCTGCACCTGAGCGGAGTGCAGGGTGAGGGTGATCAAGGCCCCCCTACTGTTCCCAGGCCCCAGCACCCCCTTGCACTTTCTGCTATAACAGACTGCCCATCGTGCTCCTAATATACCAGGCACCTGCCCACCTGTCAGAGAAACGGAGACAAGAACACCACCTGGCTGGAGGGAGGACGAAATGGTTAAACATTCACAATGTTTAGTGCAGTGCTGCCTGGAAACGAACCCTTGATAAGTGTGTCAGAGTCTTCTGGTTCTTATTTTTTGTCTTATTCTTAGTTTGTGCTTTGATGACATCATTCCCTCTGCCTGGAATTTCCTCCCTATCTTCCAGTGCCAGCTTCCTGTCTTCCTGACTTTCCCAAGCAGAATCCATTGCTCCCTCGTTTTGTCTCTGGAATGGGTGCACATTTGTTCCTTCGTTGTCCATTCCTCCAGTTGTATACAGAATTTATGGCCAGGGCCCCATGCATAGCCCCTTGGAGCTGCTATGGCCATGGCTCACCTCTGTGTCCTCAGCACCATGGGCAGGGCACAGCCCAGCAAAAACACTCAGAAGCTGTTGAGGTCTCAGATGGGCCTGGGAGGTGACAGGTTCCCATGGCAAGTGGATGTCTGGCCACCGGGGCAGGACAGGAAAGGCTGCTGGGCTCAGGCTCAGAAGCTTCGTCCTCATTCTAGTTCTGCCTCCTATTTGCTTTGTGACTTTGGACAAGTTGCCACCCATCTCTGGGCCTCAGTTGCCCCATCTGTAACAGGAAAGGCTTGACCAGCCTGGGCATGGTGGCTTACGCCTGTAATCCCAGCACTTTGGGAGGCTGAGGTGGGTGGATCACCTGAGGCCAGGAGTTCGAGACCAGCCTGGCCAACATGGTGAAACCCCATCTCTACTAAAAATGCAAAAATCAGCCAGGCATGGTGGTGCGTGCCTGTAATCCCAGCTACTCAGGAGGCTGAGGCAGGAGAATCACTTGAACCAGGGAGGCGGAGGTTGTAGTGAGCGGAGATCACGCCACTGCACTCCAGCCTGGGTGACAGAGTGAAACTCTGTCTCAAAAGAAAAAAAAAAAGAAAAAGGAAAGGCTTGACCAGCTGCTCTCTGAGAGCTTGATGAGCTTCGATTCTGTGGGCCCAGGTGATGCCCTGGTACCCTGTATTCTCCATCAGCTTTCTCTGAGTCACTCCATGTTGTTGGGCAGTTGGACCTAAACCCTTCCAGCTGCAGGAGGGTTCAGGCTGCATGGGACACAAGAGGTGCTTCCCCAACCCCGCGGACACGTCCTCCTCTGGAGGCCCTCCCGCCTCTGCGCAGCCTCTGTCCACACACCCTTTTCCCACAGTGGGTCCTTCCTCCTGCTCTAGGTGTCCTCACATCATCCCACGGGGCTAGGGGATCGCCCAGAAAAGGAATGCTGGCAATCTCCTCCCAATATGCAGAAAAAAATCACTACATAATAAAATTTCTAAAGTTTAAGGTTTTCTCCCACAGTTATTTCCCAAACTTTGGTGCCCACTAGTCTGCAAGGGAGCTTGAGGGTGCCTCTTTGGTACTGAAACCCTGAGCTATGGCTGCCAGTGTGTGTGTAGAGAAGGGTGTCAGCACCAAGAAGGAAGTGGCACGTAGGTTTCCAGAGTGATACAACGGTGAACAGAAACGTGCGTTGTTATAGAAATGCCAGGTAGATGCTTCTGAGGGGCCGCTTTCCGCTGGATCCAATCAAAAGGAAGCCTTCCCGACCCTGCGCTAGTGTGAATGTCACAGCACTGCCTCCTTAAATTTTGTGAACTCAGGCCAGGCGTGGTGGCTCACACCTGCAATCCCAGCACTTTGGGAGGCCGAGCTTGTGACCAGCCTGGCCAACATGCTGAAACCCCGTCTCTACTAAAAATAAAAAAATCAGCTGGGCCTGGTGGCGGCTGCCTGTAATCCCAGCTACTCGGGAGGCTGAGGCAGGAGAATCGCTTGAACCCTAGGGGGCGGAGGTTGCAGTGAGCCGAGATCGCACCACTGCATGCCAGCCTGGGCAACAGAGTGGAACTCCGTCTCAATAAATAAATAAATAAATAAATAAATAAATAAATAAATAAATAAATAAAGCTTAGCACCTCCCCACTCTCTCTCTTGCTGTCTTGCCATGTGACGCACCTGTTACCCCTTCACCTTCCGCCATGATTGTAAGCCTCCTGAGGCCCTCATGAGAAGCTAAGTAGATGTTGGTGCCATGCTTGTACAGTTTGCAGAACCATGAGCCAAAATATACCTCTTTTCCTTATAAATTACCCAGTCTCAGGTATTCCTTGATAGTGACACAAACAGATTCATACAATGCAACAACATGAATTAATCTTACAGACCTTATGCTGAGTGAAAGAAGCTAGACACAAAAGAATATACAGGGCACAGTTCCACTCAAACGAAGCACTAGAACAGGCAAAATTCATCTGCAGAGATAGAAGTCAGAAAGCCTTTGCCCCTAGGGGGCGACACTGACAAAAGGGACATAAGAGAACTTTCTGGGTTGATGGAAACGTTCTAAATAAATCCTGTTTAACATGGTGGCCACACAGGGCATACAATTGTCAAAATCTGTTGAACTTAACACTCAACATATTTAGGAACTTCATCTTATTGTATGTAAACTTTACCTCAGTAGAAAAAAAAACTCAGGTCTGGGATGATGGTGGAAATAAAATGTAGTTTCAAAACCTTCCTTCATCTTCTCCTAAAAATGAATGGAGAAACCAGACAGCAAAATAAAAAACTTAAGACTAGCCAGGCACAGTGGCTCACACCTGTAATTCCAGCACTTTGGGAGGCTGAGGTGGGAGGATTGCTCGAGCCCAAGAGTTCCAGACCAGCCTGGGCAACATAGTAAGATGCTGTCTCTACATAAAAAAAAAAAAAAAAAAAAAAAAAAAAAGCCAGACGTGGTGGTTCATGCCTGTGGTCCTAGCTACTTGGGAGGCTGAGGTGAGAGGATTGCCCGAGCCCAGGAAGTCTAGGCTGCAATGAGCTGTGACTGCACCACTGTACTCCAGCCTGGGTGACACAGTGAGATCCTGTCTCAAAAAAAAAAAAAAAAAAAAAAAAAGTCCAGGCACAGTGGCTCATGCCTGTAATCACAGCACTTTGGAAGGCCAAGGTGTGTGGATCACCTGAGGTCAGGAGTTTGAGACCAGCCTGGCCAACATAGTGAAACCCCATCTCTACTAAAAGTACATAAATTAGCCGAGCATGGTGGCACGCGCCTATAATCCCAGCTATTTGGGAGGCTGAGGCAGGAGAATCGCTTGAACCCGGGAGGCAGAGGTTGCAGTGAGCTGAGATGGCGCCATTGCACTCCAGCCTGGGTGACAGAGCAAGATTCCGTCTCAAAAAACAAACAAACAAACAAAACAAAACAAACAAAACCACCAAAAGAAAAAAATAAACTCAAGACAACATTCAGAACAAAACTATGACAGTATATCTCTACAACCCTCCAAACAAAAATCAGCACCGGCTGTGAGGTCAGTGTGACCAGCATCCATGTGGATGGAGCAGTGGGAGGTAGCTGGGCGTTGAGGGACCTGAGCACAGGTGCACCCCGACATGGCCAGCAGATGGTCATGGGAAGCTCAGTAGGCCAGTCTGTGAACAGCAGCTGAAACTCCAAGGAGTTTGTGAGTCCAAAGGGTGAAGGTAAGAGGTCCCTGGTAAAGTCTGAAGGGGCTGGAGTAGTCGAGCCTCTAGGAAGTCTTGAAACTGACCAGCCAGGCTCCCATCCAGACAGGGCCCATGTGGAGGAGAGAATGCCGTGAGGAGGATCAAAATCAGGAACAAGGACAACAGACACAAAAGGAAAGAGAAAGTCTAACAAAAGTAGGAGCATGAACGGAACCAGGAAATTGCAGAAAGGGAGCTGCCATATTTTTGGAAAACTACATAAGAACAACAGAAAGAGATCTTGCAAAGTGAGAAGAGCTGTCTTGACTGTGCTCCTTTTACAATTTCAGGAAAAAACCTACTTTTCCACAGACAATCTCTGAGGTGAAATCCAATAGAAAGTTATTATTAGAAAAAAGAGAATATGGAAGAGAATAACATTCCTACTGACAACCAAAACACACCAGAAAGGCCCATGAAACAGAAGAAAATGAATCAATGGTCTAAAAGTGATCCTAGCACTTTGGGAGGCCCAGATGGGAGGACTGCTTGAGGCCAGGAGTTCAAGACCAGCCTGGGCAACATAGTGAGACCTCATCTCTATAAAAAGAGTTTAAAAATTATCCAGGCACGGCCGGGTGCGGTGGCTCACACCTGTAATCCCAGCACTCTGGGAGACCAAGGCGGGTGGATCACGAGGTCAGGATATCAAGACCATCCTGGCTAACACGGTGAAATCCCGTCTCTACTAAACATACCAAAAAAAAAAAATTAGCCCGGCATGGTGGCAGGCGCCTGTGGTCCCAGCTACTCGGGAGGCTGAGGCAGGAGAATGGCGTGAACCTGGGAGGCGGAGCTTGCAGTGAGCCGATATCACACCACTGCACTCCAGCCTGGGAGACAGAGTGACACTCCATCTCAAAATTAAAAAAAAAAAAAAATTAGCCAGGCACGGTGGCATTTTCTTATAGTCCCAGCTACTTGGGAGGCTGAGGCAGGAAGATCATTTGAGCCCAGGAGTTGGAGACTGCAATGAGCTAT
The DNA here is from genome assembly GCF_000001405.40 of Homo sapiens. NCBI lineage: Eukaryota > Metazoa > Chordata > Mammalia > Primates > Hominidae > Homo > Homo sapiens. Next base: position 38,103,167 of record NC_000022.11, read on the forward strand.
GATTGTACCACTGCACTTCAGCCTGGGTGACAGAGTGAGACTCTGCCTCTGAAAATAAATAAATAAATAAATAAGATGAATTTGTCCAGCAGCAATAGAAATAAAGAGACAGAGCGAGAGAATATGTGTTATATGTGTGTACACACACATTGCATATAAATATGTATCCATCTATGCGTTGCACAGCCACCAAAAAAGCCTAGAAACAAAGATCAAGCCAGTGGCAATGAGCACCACTAGTATTCAGATTATGGCTTTGAAATACCACTTGCACTAAAAACAAAAAGTAAAAACAGGGCTTCATGAAGAAATGGCTCATTCCATGTCTCACACAGCA